>NC_000001.11:173184587-173487617 GCF_000001405.40 Homo sapiens
ATGAACCATGCATTTTCTTAAATATTACCTATAGTCATAAACGTTTACTTTTTCGGATATCACTCACTGAGTAACTGCAATTTTGCAGAACATGGTCAATAACAAAAAGTGAAATACACACACACACACACACACAAACACACACACAATCTTCTGAGTAGTGAAGCCAGATATCATTGAATATCTGTCTCAGAATGATTCTTGTAAATGTAAGTATTTAGCCCAGTGCCTGGTCCACAGTAGGCCCTCCATAAATATTTAGCCATGATTATGATTCTGTGAGTGCCTTGGCAGCCACTCAGAACTTGATTCCTCTTACCTTACCTACAATTTCTTCTATTTAGCATTTTTATTTACCTTCCTTCATAACAGATTAAAATAGAGGGATGGGAATATAGTTGAAGGTGTACTTAAGAGGAAATAGAAAACAGGAAAAAAAAATCCAACTGAGACCATTTAGTGTAAGGGCGAACAGCCCTCCACCTTTCTGGAGATTCTAGAGATAATTGTAGCACAGTACAATTCCTTGATAACACAGAATCATCCAGAAAGATTCTGTGATGTTGTATCCTCTATTGAAAATGTCAGGGAAACATGTGCTACAATTTTAAAATACATATCTCAAAAATTTATGTTTATAAAAGGTTTGGCACAGAGAAGTTACAAATCATCTGGAAAGTTGACATGAAAAATCAGATTGTCCACAGCGCCATAAGCATAACACATTATATCAAGTTAAGGGGACATTTCAACTAAACATAAGGGGATACTATTCCATTGAAGCCCTGGCATAGGCTGATTATAGACCCTTCTAGTTTCAATTATCAATGTGAGACTATATATGGTCTATGGTATTTCTAGACAGAGATCATTATTTTTCATAAGGCACAATAACTTCTTAGTGCTATTTGACATCAGATTGAATTTGATAATAGGATCACCTCATTTCTTGAAACCAGCAATGTTTCTGTGTGTACAAGACATGGAGCTGAGTGCGTATCTCAGCATAGGCAGGAGGATGAGCATGTGTTGCTTTGCCTGTCTGTGGCAAAGAATGTGTTTTCCTCCCCAGGCTATTAAAATCCGTACTGACTTTTACCCTGAGATGTCCAGTTCCCTGCTATCCTGTACAGTAAAGCTAACCCTTCACAATAAGTTATCTCACTCTCCCTGTATACAAGAAAATCTCTCTTAAGTCACTGATTAGATTTTTCAAAGCATCACATCCCCAGACAGTTCTTTGAAGGGAAATTTCTATTAACTATGTTTGGAGGCTGGGAAAGCAAAATGGTAAAGAAAAAAAGCACGTGGTATTTCTTAGACGGCTCTCTTCAAGTCCTGATTTTTCACAAGCTGATTCTTCTTTTGAACCCCCACCAAATGAGAAAGTTTAAATTTAGGCAATATGCAAACTGCAATCAATTTAACCTTGGAGAGGCCGCTTTGGCTTCCAGGGGTTGGTTCATACCACCTTTGGCAGATTCATAACCCCACTCCTTCACTCCTTGCTCCTCTTCATTTTGATAATGCCACACACATGTCAAATTTCCAGCAAATGGTAGTCAGGTACCGTTTTCAATGACATAAGTTTATTATGACAATTGCCTGACCAATAGAAACAATGCATCTTGAAGAAGAGGCATCTATTTTTTCTTTCTCACAAAGGTGCCTAGTAGGCTCAAGGCAATCTTGGGGTGTGACGGCTAGGCAATTTAGAAAATATAAGGATAAATAAGATTAACTGGTATATAAAATAAGTTTTAAATATCCCTGAGGGGTGGGGGCGGGAGGGCCAGGATCTGCTTCTTGTCACATCCCACGTGGCTGAGCTGGGAGGCTCCTTCACTTGCAATGAAGAATCCATGCCCTGTCCACCCCCAGCTTGGTGTTCATGCTGGTGCCTGGTTTTAGATATTGCCATCAGCCCCTCAAAGGACACAGAATTCACCAGGATTTTGATGGATAAGAATCAGTTCTCCGCCATTCACATGGAAGTCATCCAGGGAGGTATTGTCAGTGGTCACATTCAAGTAGACTTTGTCTTTGTAAGTCAGAGAGGCCACCATCAAGGAGTTGACAGACCTGACCTTCTTCAGTTGGAAGAGGGGCTCCTCATCCTTCTGGTAATGAAGGCTAATGTTGACTTCCTGGGAGAAGTAGCCCTTCAGGGAGATGAGATAAAACCCATCACAGTTGATGATGACTGAGTTGTTCTGCACCTTCATGATTTCATCCTCCTTTTGGGAAGTGAGGATGAAACCTTTCTCCTTCTTATATTCTAGGGAGGATAGGGGAAAATTTGTTTAATTAATTCCTAAGCATAGAATTGGGCAACAACCTTCCAATACATCTGGAATCAGATGAAGAGAAAGTGATAGGGAGAGATTTTGAAAAGAGTAAAAGCAGTGAGCCAAGATCCCGCCACTGCACTCCAGCCTGGGTAACAGAGTAAGACTCTGTCTCAAACAAAAAAAAAAAAGAAAAAGGAGTAAAAGCAAGAGAGCACTGTGTTTCTACCTGCAGGGTGGAAACTGCTTTACCTGTGGAATGGAAGAAGAGGCAATGTTAACACTAATGCCCAACAGAGTCTCAGATGGGGCTGAGATTCAGGAGCTGAGAGATTACAGAAATTGTCACAAAGCACCTATAGCAGGACAGGTGGTTTCAGGGTTTCCCCAATTTTTCAGAACAAGGATGGATTGGCAACTTCAGTGCCTCCTTTCTTGCTCAGTGGATGAACTATGGGCAAAGGGTGGCAGTGGTGCCCCATGCCTTAGCCCTGCACACTACCCATACTCTGAAGCTTGACTTAAAGCAATTGTTTTCAACTCTTGCCTTTCTGTCATCTGACCATGAAATGCAAATTTTCCACATGCCCCAGGCATTGGACCTATCCACAGCAGTTACTAGTGGCCTTTGTTAGCGGTCACTTAAGTTTAATAATGCAGCTGTGCACACCGTATCTGTGGATTCAGGGTGGGCTCTCAAAGCTGCAGGTGGAAGAGCTCAAGGGCATATACTTGCTTCTCTTCTCTACCTCCTGTTGCTAGTTTTTCCCGGAAGGTACTTTGGGAAGAGTCACTGCCACAGGAGAAAGAAAAGGAGGAAGTGGAGTAGGAGGCAGTGATAGACTTGGTTGTTTTGTGCAGGGCCATCCCAAGTGCAAGCCAAAAAGCCTGAACTTCTTTTATTTCCTTATTAGCATTAAAATCATCCTGAATAGCCAAGTAACCACATCTTGGACACACCCTGTTCTGGCCCATGTTCCTTTGTTAGGCAAAAGAATAGGTCCCCACCGCTAGCCACAATTCAGTAATTCTTGCTTTGTACCAGTCCAGAGGGACATACTTTTGAACTGAAAAAGAGGACCACTTATGGAGGACAAGAAATACTTCCCTTCCCTCAGGCTCAGGAGAACTTAACTAAAAAATGAATATTCGTGTGGAAACCACTAGGGGTTGTGCTAGCACTAATCATGGACCCAAACAATCCTCTCTCTGGAGTCGAAGTTTTTATTCTATCAAGGGCTTCCCCCAACTTTCATTAAGGTAAACTCTTGCCCCAGAATACAATTAGCAGGCAATAATGTGTCTTATAGTCAGACAGACTTGTAAGAAGTAAAGCCTTAGTTTCCCTAACTAAGAAATGGAAATAATTTCTACCCAGAAGGTTCCTTGGAGGATTAAATGAGGAACATAAAGTGATTAGTACAGAGACAAGCACATATTTGATGAATAATTAATCCCCTTTTCTCTTTATACATCTGTATCCCTAATGAAAATAATATGCAGGCTACAACAATTCTGGGATTTAATTGGAATTTAATTCCTTCCCTTAGGAAAAGAAGAGATCTTGTGTTCTAGAGGAAATTAAGAGACTGAAGAGAAGATTCTTTCAAAAATATGAATCAATTAAACTTTTGACAATACTTACCGGTAAATTGTACTTTGATACTTTGAATTCGAGGATACCGATGTGATACCTGAGGGAGGAAGAAAGACATATTCTTAGGAAAAAAACATGAACAAATGAAATTCGCAAGTCATATTTAATGGAACAGTGAAGCAGAAATGCAGTAGCCTGTAGAGAAAACAAAAACAACAGAAGACTTGACTTTTTTGTTGTTGTTGTTGTTGTTGTTTTGAGTCAGGGTCTCACTCTGACACCCAGGCTGGAGTGCAGTGACACAATCACGGCTCCCTGCAGCCTCCGCCTCCCTGGGCTCAGTGATTCCCCCACCTCAGCCTCCTGAGTAGCTGGGACTATAGGCACGCACCACCACACCTGATTAATTTTTGTTTTTTGGGGTTTTTGAGGGGGTAGAGATGGGGTTCTGCCATATTGCCCAGGCTGGTCTCAAACTCTTGACCTCAAGCAATCCTCTCACCCAGCCTCCCAAAGTGCTGGGATTACAGGCATGAGTCGCCATGCCCGGCCCTGACTTTTTCTATGAAGATTGGACCTAGACTTCCACCTTCCCCCTTGCTTTTCCATAATATCTCTTAAGATAAATTAGGACTATTGTGCTCCTTCATGCAAGCGTCTGAGATCTGTCCGCATTTCTGCCAAACTCTTCTTTGGTATACTGTTTTGTCTCACTGTGCCCCAATTTCCCATTTTGGATAACGTAGCACTATAGTCATATTGTTAAGAAACCTATTCAGTCATAGAGATTCCCTCATGGAGAATGCTGGTTCAATCAATCCATCATGGCCACAGACTCCCAGAATGCACTGGGAGGGAGTTCTGGAAGCTTCCTGCATGTCTGGTCTTTCACTTTAACGCAGGAGTAAAAGCATCCTATTTTCAGGGGACAAAGGCAATAAAAACTGTCCCAATCCTACAGAGCTCAATATATTTGGTGTAGCTTTTTTAAACATTGGATCTTTCTCTTCAACAGCTTTAAAAACCTAACTTGAATTAAGTCAGTATTCAATTGCTAAAAGAGAAGTAAAACAGTGAAGACAGGAAACCTGATAGATAAAACTTTTACAGTACTTTTGTGGTTAAAAGAACAAATAAGCTCAATATGGAACCAACTCCGAGATCTCTTAAGTAAAAAAAAGTTGGGGGGGGTGCAGAATTATACATAAAATATATTGCCATTTGTGTTAAATAATAATAATAACACCTGTGTGGGCATTGAAAGAATATACAATACATTAATGTATCTGAAAGAATACACAAGACACTAGTTGCAAATGTTGTCCCTGGAGAAAAAAATTGGAAGCCTGAGGTCAGGAGTAGGATTGACCTCTACTTTTCATGGTCTAATTTTTTAAAAAGTTTTGTGCCATTTGTTTGTCTTATCTACTAAAAAAGAAAGTAGAAAAAAATGTCTGCTGGGCACGGTGGCTCATGCCTGTAATCCCAGCACTTTGGGAGGCTGAGGCAGGCAGATCAGCTGAGGTCAGGAGTTCGAGATCAGCCTGGCCAACATGGTGAAACCCCATCTCTGCTTAAAAAAAAAAAAAAAAAATTATCCAGGCATGGTGGCACATGCCTGTAATCCCAGCTTCTTGGGAGGTTGAGGCAGGAGAATCACTGAAACCTGGGAGGGGGCCAAGATCGCCCCACTACGCTCCATCCTGAGGGACATAGGGAGACTCCATCTCAAAAAAATAAAAGCCTATTATGCCTGCCAAGAACAACGGCTCTTCCCACAAGCTTATTTTGGCATGACGTCCTAATCAAAAATGTGAAGACGGATTTGTTTTTATGCCCTGGGTAGGGGAATTCCTGTTTCCCACTCTCCTGGCACACTGGTAGCTTCAGTCAAGCATATTCCATTGGCACCTGCCCACACAGACGAGGAATTCCCTACTTCTATTACAAGTATAATCACAAGCCTTACCAGCTAAAACCAACAGGCAGCATAGGAAGAATGGAGAGTCATTCTGAGCCCTGCCAGGGACTGGGCTGCAGGAACAATATGAGTTCAATGTGCTGAGCACATGGAGAGAGGCACTGACTTGGGTAGAAGCAGGAGTCTTTAGCTCTCCCCCTTCTCTGTACTCTTCGTGGTGTGATAGCTAATTAGTGCCCTTCGTGCTTAAGGGCAATGCTCTGGAAGAAAACCTGTCAGAAGGCAAATGACCCAATGACCATAGTTTCCTGGGTAAATAAATGTTTCCACTGCTCTCTGGGCTAAGTGCCAGCATGAATTGCCACGTGCTAAAGTTAGAAAGAAGCCCTCTGTGGAGTAGCACAAACAGCACAGGCCTCAGCGTGCAGTGACAGAGTGCTAATGCCAGGCAGGCAGGCACTGTGCCAACTTAAGCAAGTTTCATAATCTCCTTAGATGGCAGTTTCTCATCTTTAAAAGTCACTAGAAGATCAGGGGCATTCCTTTCAGCACTAGCTTTCCATGATTTAGATTTTAGAAGTTGTGACTTTAAGTTTAATTTAATAAAAGAGAAAAAAACATAAAGCTTCCTCATTCCCAAATTTACTTTCACTCCCTGATCTAAAAGCCCTTGTGATTTGATTATTTTGACTGACTTTGCAAAGATCTCCAAAAATATCCTGCAACTTAAGGAATGTTCCAACTTTTTGAGGTGCCCTGATGAAGTAAGGGTGGCAGTGACCAAACAGACATTCTCTGGGACGATGATGCTGACAGGCAGTGAGTGAGTAAAGCACATGTGACTTCCTCCGTGTTGGAGTCTAGACTTCCAGTAGATCAACCTGGAGGAAGCTGACCTACTGGAACTCCAGACTCAGGTATCCTGTTCCTTCTCCTGAAGGTCACATAGGGGTAGAAGTTTGCATATCCTCAGAAGTCTCTTACTAACATCAAGTTTAGGCAATGTTGTGAAGTAGAAAAAGATGGTCCTTCTTCTTATTTGTTGGCCTTCCAACCATCTTCCCCCTCATCCTCCATACCTGATGACCTCATGCTGACTACCCCAGTGCCCAGAGACACCCCCACAGTGCCCAAGTCAAAGCTCTGAAGAGCCTGGCTCCAACCTCATTGTCAAGCTTTATTGCCACATATATCCTTTCTGTGTCTAATGATCCAGCCAACTATTTGTTCTGATCTCCTTGCACTTGGGTAGGCAGCCTGGTAGGATGGCACAAAGAGCATAGACTTTGGAGTCAGATTTAGTTCAAACTGTGACTTCTCTGGTTCTTTGAATTTGGAAAAGTTATAGCATTTCTTCGCTTTAGCCTTTATACATGTGAAAATAAGACATAATACTGTGAGCGGAACTTTCCAGAAGATGAACACCAAGTTTAGATAGGATAACTTAAAGCATCCAGCAGTTTGCCAGCACATGGTACGTGGTAAGCATTTTAAAAATGTAGGCCAGATGCAGTGGCTGACGCTTGTAATCCCAGCACTTTGGGAGGCCGAGGCAGGCAGATCACATGAGATCAGGAGTTTGAGACCAGCCTGGCCAACATGGCAAAAGCCTGTCTCTACAAAAAATACAAAAATTAGCAAGGCGTGGTGGTATGCACCTGTAATCTTAGCCACTGGGGAGGCTGAAGCACAAGAATCGCTTGAACCCAGGAGACAGAGGTTGCAGTGAGCCAAGATCACACCACTGCCTCCAGCATGTCCCTCCATCTGTCTCTGCCCATTAAAATCTTACCATCTTCAAGGCCTAAATCAAATCCTTGAGTTTCAGTCTCTGTATTCCCATACAAGTATTTAAAGTCACTCATTCACAAAGATGTTTATAGCAGCTTTGTTCATAATTGTCAAAACTTGGAAGCAGCCAAAACGTCCTTCAGTAGGTGAATGGATAAATAAACTGATACAACCATACAATGGAACATTATGCAGCACTAAAAAGAAATGAACTATCAAGCTATGAAAAGACATGGAGGAATATTAAATGCATATTATTATACAAGAGAAGCCAATCTGAAAACGGTATATACTGAATGACCTAACTATATGACATTCTGGAAAAAGCAAAACTATGGAGATTAAAAAGATCAGTGGGTGCCAGGGGTTAGGAATGGGGGAGGAATAAACAGGTAGAGCACAGGGTGTTTTTAGGGTAGTGAAAGCATCCTGTATGATTCTGTAATGGTGAATACATGTCATTATATACACTTGTCAAAACCCACAGAATGTACAGTTAACCCCAACATTAAAAAACACTCTATTGACTGATTATACTGCCAGTGAATACAAGTCTTATCTCCTCTACTCAAGACTACTTAGCTGTGTGACCTTGGGAAAATTGCATTTATCTTGCTGATTTTGTTCCTTAATCTGTAAAATGGAGATAGTAAAAATCTGTATATCAGAGAGTTGTAAAGTTTGAATGAAATAATATATGTCAGTGATCAGGACCTGTCATGGAACATTGCAAGAAGTTAATAAACATCAGCAATTATTCTTGGATGCACACGGAAAACAATATCCATGTCATGTTCATAATTTATTCTACATAATACTATATAAACTATATGACAACAGAATGAAGGAATGGATTAAAGAAAAAAACAAAGACTAACAAAGTTATCATATCAGTGCTCTGACTCCCTGTACCTCAGAGAAACAATACAAAAGAATTTGGGTTTCATGAGAAAGGTTGACAGAAAACAATCAGAAGACATTTGGTCTACCCCCACACATAGACTTAGTGTTTTGTATATCAAGAAAAGCAAAATCCCCAGATCTTCTCCACATACTCAAAGAAAATAGAAAATATCAAAGGGCCAGGGGGCTTCCATCTAAGCACAGTCTATAGACTAAAGCTTCTTCAATCTGGAAGGTCTGAAGAGTCCACACCATACTCAAGGATGAAATGCAAATGCTCCTAAGTATCCATGCCAGAATTGAAGTATAGCCGTGAATTTTGAATGTAATGGTCTTAGAAGCATGAAAAAAATGCAAAAGAAGTCATATTTTAGTTGAACATTATATTTTGCATATGAAGAAATTAAGGCTCACAGAAGTGAAGAGATTTGATGCATGCCCTTCAATTTCAGTAATTTTTATTATACCACACAAGTACTATTTTTCTCCCACGCGAATTTGAAGAAAAAAATTCTATGAAGATTTTAATATTCCATTCCTTATGTCCACTTTAATAGCAAGCTTAGAGAAAAGAAGAAGTTGCCGTACAGATGATTGGCAATGACCTCATCATGAGAAAGAAAAGGGAGAGCCCACACTCCAGGCTTCCCTCTTGGGTTTCAGGGCTCCCATAAGTGAAGCAAAAAAAAAAAAAAAAAGGAACAATCAAGTACCCACTTGGCAAATATGGGCTCTTTGACCAAATGACTGAATAATGTAATGTACAAGCGTCATGTCTGGCAGCAGCTGATAATGCAACAGGAAGGTTACCAGCCCAGTGGTTCTTAAACTCTAAATGTGCATTAGAATCACCACCAAAATATGTTGTTGTTGTTGTTTTAAGTGCAGATGGTCAGATTATTCACAAAGACTCTAATTCAAAAGGTCTGGGTAGATCAAGGAATCTTCATTTTTACAAGTAACCAAGGTTCAGATTTAAAAATCACTGCTGTTAACTATGAACTTCCAAAAGTCTAAATCCAGAGAATTTATCTTCAACCACACCCTGTGCAAAAAGCATGCCTGTCCAAAAGCTGGTGCTCAAGAAATTTTTTCTCTGCTGTAAGTGTTATTCAGTAGTTGAATGAATAGTATGGTTGTCATATTATTTGGTAGTTTGGTTAAAAATAACATCAGCAATTATTGAGTACTTGCTATGCAGCAGTTATTACACTCAACTCTTGGAACACAAGGAGATAGAACATACAATCCTTACTTTTGATGAACTTCTATGCCAGTTGGGAAAATAGTCCCTGTACATAAAACCTTTAGTAAATACCTACAGGCAATGTAAGTCATAACATTTCAAAGAACAGAAAAATCACTGTAGGCTTTGACAGCACAAGGAGGAAAGACCTGGACTTAGGCCTTGAAAGACAGAGAAGAGCTGGATGAGCAAAAGACATTCTATAATTATTAATAGTTGGAAGAAAAGTCTAGAAATGAGGCCATCCTTTGTGCATTCAAGAAAAAGGGCCTGGTGCGGTAGCTCACACCTGTAATCCCAGCACTTTGGGAGGTCAAAGCAGGCCGATCACTTGCACTCAGGAGTCCAGGACCAGCCTGGACAACATGGTGAAACCCTATTTCTACAAAAAAATAAAAAAATAATAAAAAAAATAGCTGGACATGGTGGTACACCTCTGTGGTCCCAACTGCTTGGGAAGCTAAGGTGGGAGGATCGCTTGAGCCCAGGAGATTGAGGCTGCAGGGAGCCACAATCATGCCACTGCATGACAGAGAGAACTTGTCTCAAAAAAAAAAAAAAAAAAAGGCAAAGAATAAATAAAACCTTATTGAGTACTTACAATATGCTATGCACTGTTTCAAATGTATTATCCCATTTGCTGCTCAAAATAACATTGTGATGTAGAAAGAATAACTACCCATATTTTACAGATAGGGAAATAAAAATTAGTGCTGCTAAGAACTTGGTCGGGAATAAATATTTATTCATTTGAGTTCAGGTGAATCCCAAGTTCATGATAACATCCCTTCTCTTTATCCTACACTATCATAAGAGTAAATAACACCAAAAAAAAGCATTTATCTGAGGGTCCTAAATTAACTTGAATTGTTTTCATCATCAATACTGAATAAGATTAAATATTAATTTTTGAATAGTTGTCAAAATACACAGATATACATCAAAATATCCAGAAACCCTGCTCTAGAAAGAGCTCCTCAACCAATGTTGCAGGGTTGCCTATGTAGTTCAGGTTGCCAGAATTATTAGCTCAGCTCTGATTAGGTAAAACTGTCCTGGCAAGGAACTGCAGGCCCATGGACAAGTACAAAGCAGGCTCCCCATGCAGGTGTAGCAAAGAAGAGTCAGAATTAGGTTCTTTCTTGGCCTCCTTCAGTGCTTTTAGCACTGGGCTGTCCAAAAACAAAGGTGGAAAGTGTCTGATATCTGGCATTTATTCAGCAGGCTGTGCTGTGTTCCCAAGAAAGTGACACTTGTTTCAAGAGCTCATCTTTGGAGAGTGTGTACCTCTAATTCTGACTCACTAGGATGTGGTATGGGGCTGTCGACCTTAAACCCATTTGACATTTGTCCTGGTGAAGGGTATCTGTGGCAGGAGCAAATGATACTCACCAAGCATGAAACCAGGAAGTGGGCTCTGCACTCACTATACCGGCCTTGCCATTCCTTGCTTGGTACAAGGCCACAATGTCAAGGCCTTGGTGGTGGGCAGCAGTGGGACGTGGGCTAGTAGAGGGTGGTAGTAGTGGGCTAGTAGAGGGAAACACATCTGGAGTGGGGACTCCCCAGTTCACCAAACCACTGCCACTGGACGTGAACCTCTCCTCCCCGCACCTTGGGCTTCATGCCAACCAGTGGAGATCTGAGAGATCATGAAAGCATGACCTCACAAGCTCTCAGGGTGTGTCTCAAGGGGCCTCAGAAGAGAAAGGGAGAATTTTTCACTCTTAGCCACCACAGTAGACTGAGAGGATAGATCCTTATCTGACAGACATGGTCTATTCTCAGTGGAAGCAGCCCCCTTACAAAAAGATGAGCCCTGACTTCTGATCACGGAAGTTCAGAATTCCACCTAGAGAGAGGAGTAGGAAAAATGGGAAAAACTGATTCTTTGGTGAAGGAGTTTCTCATATTCAGAAAGACTTATCCCAAAAGTTACATTTCTTAGAGACAAAGATGTGTGGCTTTGAAAACCTTGTTGGATAACGAGTTTATTGGGACTTAATGAACACAAAGAAAAGCCATTTTAACTGCCATCCAAAGCCTTCTCTTTCTCCATGCCAAACCCTTACCATCTCTGCCAGCATATTTTCCCAGTCATCTCTCTCTTAACCTCCACCTTCCTCCCCACTGTATATCCTGCGTGATATCCTCATAGCCACCTCTCTCTCTAACCACTTCCACTCTTCTCATCGAGTCTACTAAGTAACGGCTATGAGTTTTCCCGCAGAGAAGCCTCTCTCCTCTCTGTTTCAGAGAGAGCATGAACTGTGGTTTTATTGTCCCTAATACAATTAGCAACTGACAGATTCCCAAGAGAAATGTCCTATATTTAGGTAAACAATCAAATCAACCAAAAGTATCCATGTGACATGAAATCTATGTGATTGACCTAATGCACCAACTCTTCATATCGTCAGAGGGAAGATTTTCTTGTATCTTGGTTTCCCTTCCCACATACAACTGAGGAAGCACTCAAAGTACACTGACAGAGGGATTTACTAAAACATTTCTGAGAACTCCTGTCCCCACCTCAATGATTGGTTAAGTCTCTACTGTAATATTCTCAGATCAGCTTAGTCTCTAAGCTACTGGAAGGGTAGGTTTACAAGGTACCCACTGCCTTGCCATACCTCCTACCATGTCTCAAACATAATGGCACTTAGTAAATAAATGTTGAACTAAGGTGGAACTTAGCCCCTCAGGACATCCCTGGACCTTCATCAGCTACAAGATCATGTAATATCTAACACTGGCTCTAGTCAACACTATACATTGCTCAAGGTTTTAGAAATTGGCCTATTCTAGTCAGAATGGCCATTATTAAAAAGTCAAGAAGCAACAGATGCTGGTGAGGTTGGAGAGAAAAAGGAACACTTTTACACTGTTGGTGGGAATGTAAATTAGTTCAACCATTGTAGAGGACTGTGGAAGACAGTGTGGCAATTCCCCAAAGATCTAAAAGCAGAAACACCATTTGACCCAGCAACCCCATTACTGGGTATATACCCAAAGGAATATAAATCATTCTATTACAAAGGTACATGCACACATATGTTCATTGCAGCACTATTCACAATAACAAAGACATGGAATCAACCCAAATGCCCATCAGTGATAGACTGGAGAAAGAAAATGTGGTACATATACACCATGGAATGGAATACTGTGCAGCCATCAAAAGGAACAAGATCATGTCCTTGGCAGGGACGTGGATGGATCTAGAAGCCATTATCCTCAGCAAACTAACACAGGAACAGAAAAACACCGCATGTTCTCACTTATAAGTGGGAGCTGAACAATGAGAACACATGGACATGTGGGAGAACAACACTGGCGCCTGTTGCAGGGGCAAGGGGAGGGAGGGCATCAGGAAAAATAGCTAATGGATGCTGAGCTTAACACCTAGGTGATGGTTTGATCTGTGCAGCAAGCCACCATGGCACACGTTTACCTATGTAACAAACCTGCACATCCTGCACATGTACCCTGGAACTTAAAATAAAAGTTAAAGAAAAAAAAAAGAAAAGAAAGTCAATTGACCATAAATGTGCAGCTTTAGTTTTGGATTCTAAATTCCAAACGTTGATCTGTCTATTCTTATGCCAGTACCAAATCAAATTATATAAGAACTCTTTTCAGTCACGGTGCACATTACCAGTTGCATATTGTCATAATAAAAGTTCAATGTAGAGAAGAAAAAAAAAGAAATTGGCCCATTCATCCTTGAATACAAAGACAGTAGCAGAATTACTGCAGTCAGTCTCTTTATTTGAAATCACTCATTCCCTTATCTGATTTGCTATATAACAAGGAGGGAATATAGTCTTGAGAAGGCAACCTGGTAGACTGAACAAGACATTGCACTGGGACTAGGCACACCTGAGTTCTTCTCCCGGACCAGAAAATGTTCTTTCCCTTCCTCAGCTTCTAATATTCTCATTTCAATGTCTAAACTCAATTTAGATTATTGGAATAAAGTGTCTAATGAAAAATTTCCATTTCAAAGATTAGGCAAATCACAATATTCAAAAGCGAGATAGATTTCAAAGGATTGTGTGATAAGAAGACCTTCTGAACAGAAGATCACTTTCAACACAATAGACCCCTCTGCTGTAACAAAAGCAGCAGGCCTCTTTTTCCCCAAGTGGCTCCCTCCGATAGTAAATGAGCAACTAAGATTATTCCTGTACTAGAATGGCGTGAACGCAGGAGGCGGAGCTTGCAGTGAGCCGAGATCGTGCCACTGCACTCCAGCCTGGGTGACAGAGCAAGACTCCATCTCAAAAAACAAACAAACAAAAAGATTATTCCTGTACTATGCTTATTACCCCAGTGATGAAACAATCTGTACCCCAAACCCCTATGACACACAGTTTACCTGTATAACAAGCTTGCACATGTACCCCTGAACCTAAAATAAAAGTTAAAAAAAGATGATCCCTAGTGTTGTGCATGCAGTGAAGCTCTTCACCTCATCTGTGGGGGGCTAAATAATCCTCAACCTGTGCTCTGATACAAACTGAGACTGGCGAATGGTAACATCATCACAGAATAGCAGTGGGATGAGGATTATGGTGGTGACAATGATGACCATGTCATTTTAAACTAAACCCTTCCTGTTAATTAATGGCAGTGAAACCAAGTACCTAATGCAAAAAACAAGTATGCCCACTTTATAATCCCAATCAAGATACTAGGTATTAAAGCTGGTAGGTAGCTTTCTGTGAAACTTCTTACTGAAGAACCGTACCCTCTTTGGTTATCCAGTGCTTATCATACGCTATTGCTTGTTTAACTGCCTTGTTTTCCTACTGGGTTGCAAACTCTGGGAGGGCAGGGAGGACCACGTCTATTTCACTCACCTTTGTGTCCTCAGTGCCTGACAGGTAACTGATGCTCCATAAACATTGCTGAATAAGTTGATGAATAAGTGCTTTATAGCGGCTTGAATAGTGTCCCTCCAAACTTCATGTCCATGTGGAACCTCAGAATGTGACTTTATTTGGAAATAGGGTCTTTGTAGATAGATGTAATTAGTTAACATGCAGTCAACTGGATTAGGGTGGGCCCTAAATCTAATATGACTGGTGTCCTTGAAGAGAAGGAGAAGACACACAAGATACACATTTGAAAGAAGGCCATGTGAATATAGAGGCAGAGCTTGGAGCAATACAGCTACAAGTCAAACAACACTGAGGATTGCTGGGAGCCACTAGAAGCTAGAAAGAAGCAAGGAAGGATTCTTCTCTAGAGCCTTCAGAGGAGCGTGGCCTTCCGACATCTGGATTTCACATTTCTATTCTCCGGTACTGTGAGAGACTAAATTTCTGTAGTTATAATTTACCCAGATTGTAGTAATCTGTTCCAATAGCCCTAAGAAACTTCTTCATGGTTGAATAGGTATTTGTATAGAGTGTGCAAATTACACTATCACTTAAGTAATTCTTTGAATCAGTCTGATGGAACTAGAAAGGCCTTGGGAGATTATATAGCTTAATCTCATTATCATTTAAAAAAAATGCAGAGGAAAGTAAGACTCAGAGAGAATAAATTACTGAATTAGTACTAGAATTCAGGTCCTCTTTCTCTTGTACAAATATATCATACATACAATGCTTTGACCATTTTATAAAAATAATCCATAAGTTATTATGTGATTGTTAAAGCTTTGTTGATTATGTTATCTACATTTGTGTAAGTATATTTAAATCTTTTTTTAAAAAGAGTCTTTCTTCCCTTTATGATGGCATAAATCCTTCCTCCAATTTTTCTTCAAAAAACACTAATGCCAAAAAAGAAAATGAATTTTAAAAACAGCTAGCCAACATTCTTAAAGCTCAGACTCGTGGCCTCGTGGCCAGGCATAACAGAAGATAGGACTGGAATTTAGACTGAGTCTTAATTTCTAACCCTGACCTTTCTGTGCAAACCTAGTCAAGTCTCTATACCTCATATTTCCTCAGTGTAAAACTGCACACCATCTTTCTCCAAGGTCTTAGTGAAGAAATGAGGTCAGAAGTAGGAAAAAGCTCTGCAAAGATGAGAGACTGTTACTGCAAGTAGTACATTGAATAATACCATTCAACCTCCCTGCTACCCGTCCATTCTAAAAAACGGTTTGAGTTTAGGTTTTATTGCACCATATACAGGGCCAGATTAATATGCATGGGGGTCTTAGAAGCTAAAAATTGTCATCACCCAACACACAAGTAATTCAAAATATGTTTTACATTACTAAACTGTAAAATACATGTTTTATGACTTATTTTATATCTCATTAAGATGCTTTCCTTTGATGCATGTTTTGATGTTCTTTATCATTTTTGTAATATTGTCATTCCATCTTGATCTTTGACACTGTTTCACTGGCTTTCTAGGATGAAGGTCTGGCTGCCGCTGGGGAGCCCAGCCCTGAGGCTACATCACTTAAACTCACTGGAGCCCTCACTTCCCCACCTGTACAATATAGTACTTTGGGAATGAAGGCTCTCTAACCACAAGATCTTATTAAATTAGTATAAGAAGAATTAAAGTTCAGATTTGTTTGTCCATCTTTCTGTCAAGAAGCATGTGTTCTTAAATAGCATTTGCATGTTATCAAGCTAGGCAAACTTATAAAAATTAAGGTGCATTTCAGAATGAAAGGCCTACTGAAAAAAGATTTTAGTTATGCCAGGAATATTCCCCAATGTTTCTAGATTAGTGAACCAGATGATATGCCTCTTATAAATCTAATTTCCTGCCTTATTTGGTAGCCAAGTCATTGGAGAATTGGATGAAATATATCAAAATAAGAAGAAACGGAAATAGCCTAAGCCATGTGCTCTGAGTACGTAATTTTAGATCTCTGAACCACGTGCAGACACTGAACCTAATCACACTTCATAACCTCATAAATTCTCCCCTTCATTCTTTTGCTCTCTAATGCACCCATGAAATCTTAATTAGAAATCTATGTTTAAAAATAATAGGACTCTTCCAAGGTGGATTTTTTAATCCTAAAAATTACATTGGGGAAATCAAGGTTCATGAAGTTATGGTTAACATTAACTTTGATATGCTTTCTGAGATTTGAGTTACAGTGTGTGTGTATGTGTGCACACACATACTATAAAGTCAACATTTTAGTAGCAGTATGTTAACGGAAGCATGTTCATGGATAATGATAATAATAATCTTAGCATTTACAAAGCTGTGTATCAATTAATCCTCACCACAACCAAATTCCAGTCTTGGAAATGATTAAACTGATGCCCAGGGAATTTCAAGAAATTTACTTGGGGTCAAGAGGTAAAAGCCTGGACTGAAAAATTCTGGTTCCTGGCCCAGGGCACTCCCTTTATACTTCAATGAGTCCTCCAAAATCTGAGATGATGTTTTATAGCTTTGTATAAGCAAATGTTTTAATTCCTTTGTTTGAAAAGATTGGTTATCAAAAGCATGGGTGATTACAAACGAAATATACAAAGCATAGGATGGTAGAAAATTCAGTTTCAATCCAACTCTACCATGTATTTCATTAGTGACTATGGAAACATAAACCTTTCCACCTACAACTCAGCTGGGTTATTTTTCCCTCATTAAACAGTAATAACAACACTGTATGTAGCTCCTCTAACCCAAATGATGCAAAAGGATTAACTTTCATTTTCCATGAATGGAGAATCCCTGAAGTGGGGTAAGCTGTCATTTGAGAGAGAAGTAATTGCTATATATATATACATATATATATATACACACACACATACACATATATATAAAAGAAGAAGAAGAAGTGGAAGGCCAAGGTGGCCAGCCCCTAAACAAGGCTGGGTCTACTCAGTACTAGTAACCAGCAGCTGAGGTCAGAGAAGAGGAACAGAGAGATTGTATCCCTAGATCTATACCTAGAGCCTTTTGGCTTGTTTCCCAACTCTCCTCTGTGTGTGTATATTTGGATCTATATGTGCATACACGTGCAATATTTTCCAGCATCATCCCCATCCAAATTATTCTGTCCTATTTTGAATACCCAGATCAAAACATATATCTAAACACTTCATTTAGAAAATATCATCACTCTGCAAATAGTGAATAATATTAGCTGCCCCTGATATTGTTCATTCTCTTATTTGTGGATGAGCACTTGACTGCCTGAGAAGTTTTCTAATCAACTCTTCAGGAAAAGAGGATAAGCTGTCTTCAGACACAAGAGAATCGTTACTTTTACTGTGGTGCCCCCTAGTGCTGTTCAGATTAGACTCACTTTCTATATTTGCCAAAATACAGACTACACAAGAGAAGCAAAATTTGGAGAGGTAACAATGTTGGTAATTTTTCCTGTATTTCCTTTGGCGTAGGAGAGAATGAAGCGTGTTCCTTTAGCATGATTCACAAGATCCTTTGTGAACTGCTCCCCACCTCCCCAGCTTTTCAGCTTCATCTCCACCACTTTCCCACAGGAACACTCAACTTGAGCTATTCAGAAAAACTTGCTGTTCTGCCTAGTAAGCCTTCTACCCCTACCCACCAATTCCCATCCGCTTGTCTGCTTAAATAATTTATCCTCCTCCTTCTAGTATTAGCTGAAGCATTATCTCCTCCTGCAGGTTTTCCTGACTCCCCAGAAGGCTGAGGCAGCCCTCCCTCCTCCCTCCTCTCATCTTCCCATTGTCCCTTGAGCATGTCACTCTTTTGTCCCCACCCTGCATCTTGACTGTGAGTGTAAATAGTTCAAAAACCTTCTCCAATGGATGTTTATATCGCCAGTGCCTCAAATGGTACCTAGCACAAGTAAACACTCAATGGAAAAAAATCTGTGTAAGGATGGTTTCATTGATAATAAGAAGAACCATAGTGTAGGAATCAGGAGTTCTGGTGAATTAACCAGCTAAGTGGTCACGAATGGTTCACCTACCCTCTCTAGGTTTCTGTTTTCTTATCTGTAAATAGACTATATCTAATACCTGCCCCCAAATTCAATGATTCTATATGTTTAATACCTCCTTTAGAAGCCTCAAAATGCCTTATGACAAGCCAAGTCAACTTCAGATGTTAATTTTTTAATTCTCAAAGATTTGCTTATGAAAAGCAAATTCAAATGCCTTTGAAATTATCTTATTTGCAGGTCTATTGTTAAAAAAGAACTTCTAAAAACTTTCTAAATGACATGGAGACATTTAAATTAAGCTAATCTGAAACAATATTTTTTTCAGGCAAACTCCTCTTTCTCTTATTAAATGATACAAAGAAAGGTCCAAGTTGTAGCCCGAAACTTCATTAAGAAACTGTGAATTCTAATTCCAGCTTTCACTGATACAGAACTGGTCAACTCACTTTCTAAGTATCTCTACTTCTGTTGTTCCCAGCTGAAAAAAAAGTGATAAGAACTGAAAAAAAGTGATAAGTAGGAATTGCTGAAAAAAATCACTAAAAGCCTTCAGGTCTTTGAGCATGATGATAAAGGTGATATGAATCTTGGAAAAGCCAAGTTTCAATGGTTTCAGTGAGGTTTCTCACACCTTATAGGTCAGCTTTTTCTGCCTTTGTTCCATAGCTGAAGTTCCAGGTAAGACTGGAAGCCTGACAATTTAAGTGGATGTCCCAATGTAATATCCAAACAGTGTGTATTGGTTTTGGTGACAGAAGCACTGAATTATATACCTTATGTCATGAATATTCTTACAGGGCATTCACTTCTTTCCCTTTTCTAAACAGTGTGTTTTGCTAATCCAGAATAGGTTATTTAGATATGTACAGAATATATAACTTAAGTATAGAAAAGTACATATGTGCAAATTTGATTCCCCTCAATCCCTTCTTAGGAGCCAGGAAATCCATAAGCTTAAACACAAATATACTAACTCACATTTTGTATTTCTCAAATCCTTATATCCATTCTATGAATATATAAACTATATACTCATAAGATATTGAGCTGGAAGACATCTTATTGATCATTTGATCCTACTTTCTCATAATACAGATTATAAAAATCAAGGCTCAAAGAGGAAAGTAAATTAGATGAGGAGTGGGTAGGGTCTAACTTTTTTTCTAGCATCTTAAAAACAAAATATTCTGCATTTCCTGCATGTAGATAGACCTAACCCAGTGATGAGAAAACAGAGGCTACTAAATAAACTTGATTGAAAGGAAAGCTGACGGCCAAATGGAGCTTGGTAGCTATATCTGTATTTACAGAGCCATTCATGTAGGCAATTATTTTATAAGGCTAAAAAATTAAATCTAAGAAATAAAAGGGAAAATCACAATTATTTCCCAAAAACCTTTCTCTCACAATAAAAGAGGTCCAATTTAACTGGGTAAATGGTGAGCATTTCAGCTCTATTTCACCTCCAATACACATCACTGTAACATTATGTCTTATAAAATAGAGGTTTGACTTGCCTCATCACTACCAACACCACCACCACCACCACCACCCGATCCCTCAATCAAACTTCCAAACAGTATTGTAGATGAGTTTTAAATGGCTACTAGTCTATGTCTCTTTGTCAGCAGCTGCTCTACAATGTTCTCTCTCAATCTCTCTGTCTCTGTTTCTCTCTCTCTCTCAAACACACAGAAACACACACACACACACACACAAACACACACACACACACACTGCTGCTATCACTGCCACCAACATTATTTGGTAAACTATCAGGTTCTAGGGAAAACACACACAACCCATCTATGCTATCCTTCTCATAATGAAGTGTAAATAATAAATATAAGATTAAATGTAAGGACCCATTGTGCTGTCCCAGATCCTATAACAATATAAGAAATTACATTAGCTAATTAGAAATAAAAAAATTATAATTAACATCAAGTGAAGAACTTCAAATATCCTGAGCAAAAAAAAGAAATCTATTTTCAGAGTAGACAGGGCATGTTTCTTAAGCAAACAACTCAAATATACCACCTATGTCTTGCTTCCATCTCTGTGCCAGGACTATAGAAGCTAATTCTCCCCTAGAGATCACTCACCATGAGGTTTAGTGTCCTAGAAACCAGCACCCTGCTTTTCTTCCCACAGCTTTCCTTCTGTCCCAGAGTTGCTGGATGACTTGTTGGAAAGGATCCCCTCTTTTTCTCAACATCTCCTGGATATTGATAGTCCAATGTGACCCCAACCACCAGCAAGCTGTACAACTGTGGTTCACCTTTTGCTCTCTCCTGCTCAGAGCCGTTGTGCAATCAGTTAGCCTTGAATGGAGCCATGTGTCCTGTGTTTTATCATCCCATGGTGTAAGGAAATATGTAACACTGTGGTTGTTAGAAAAAGCACTCTCAGGGCTCCCAGACTGGTGAATGCACTCAGCTGTTCTATATTTGGTTACTCTCTTTGTTTTCTTCTCAAAAGAGCCTAATTCCGGTTGATGTCTTGGGCATCCGGTCGATGTCTTGGGCATCCTGCCATGGACACCTTACTCTTCCCCCACACCCTCTCCCCGAGTCGCCTACTTTAATTTCACCCAAAGAGTTCTGCGAGAAGACATAAGAGTGTGGTGTGATGAGGAGAGGATCAATGTGTTGTTGTGCTCACTGTTCTGCAGACCTGAGCATGACACTAGCTACACTTCTGGAATTTGGAGACACAAGCACTGTCTGTGGTACAGTGATCATAACCACACACACTCTTACCAGCCTCCATGCACTGAAAACCCTATTTCCTGTAGGCAGAAACAAGCCCAGGCATTTGCCAAGACTGCTCATCTCATTCTGGTTTCATTGGAGGTGCTTAATCTCAGACAAGACCATCAGAAATCAGTTTGTATTACCTGAACTTTATCAGGGAGAAACATTTCTAACCCAAAGCAACCACCTAGAAAACAAGATTATCAGACTAGCTCAACAAAGGAACACGAAGAGAGTATAGATTTATTTTTCTCCAGTGGCATCTTCTGCAGTGAAGAACATCCTTAAATACCTAATAATGTTTGTATATCTGAACTACTGAATAAGAAAAAATAATGCAAAAGAGAGAAGTGTGGAACAAGAATAAAGTGAAAGAAAAATGGAAATATTTTAACTATATGGGGAAAATACTAGAAGGATAATCTCCTACTACATGATGTATTTAATAAGGTAGGGAAAAGGTGAAATGATGTCTTTAAATTATGACTGGAAGAGATAGATTGTGAGAAACAATATCTGATTAAATCATTGGGGTGAATGAGTGAGCACATAGGCACACACACATGCACGCACACATTGCTCCGCTATTAATATTGATACCTTCAGCATTCTTTACAAAGAAAATCACCTTGCAGGTCTATAGGGTATATGAATATTATGGGAAAGTGGAACTGGTCTCTTTCCTATTTCCTTTTAATATTAATTGCCTGATCAAACACATTACTATCACAATGGGTAGACCAGGTATATCAGTGACTCAAAGCTTCAAAGTGACAGCTTATAAAGGGATACAAGGAATCTTGCATTGCAAAGAAAAAGAAAAAGATCTAGAAGCTGTGCCTCTGCCCTACCTCCACTCTGCCCTACCACTGCCACTGCTGAAAAGAAGGAAGGAAAGGAGAGACAGAAGGGCGTTTAACCACACTTTACGATTGCTGTGGGGAGAGGGAAAAAAAACTCAACACTTTTGGCATAAGATTATTTCCAAGCGACTGTTTGCAGCTGTTGCAGCTGCCATCAGCATGAGCTGGTGGGAAAACAGCGCCCAGTGGTGCATCTTACCTGAAGAGCAGAGAAGTGCAGGCAGATGTAGGTGAAGCACAGGAGCAGCCCCAGTCCCTGAATTACAGAGGCCACCAGCAATAGCTTGTTCCTCTCGAATCTTGGCCTGGCTGCATTTCCCACATTCTCTTCCAGGGGTTGGACCCTTTCCATCTTCACAATCTGGGTAGAGGGAAGATGAAGATATGGAAAAGGGGAACGTGCGATAAAACTGAAGTTTTCCCCAGAAAGAAGGAGGTAAAGACAAAACAAAGCCTATCAATCAGAAAATAGGCAAAGGTCCCAGGGCCAGAGATAAAAGGCGATTGAAAGAGCAAAGCGGACTCTCTCAGTTTTAACGCTGCAACTTTTGCAGGCAGGCGGGGGAACTTCTTTGTGACTAATCTGAATTTCCCCTTTACTTTCTTTCTTTTTTTTTTTCCTCTGGGCTAACAGGGAGTTGTTTTTGTGACATTCCAGTTCTGATTTGAGTGACTGTGAAATGACAGTCATAAAAGTATGCTATTTTCTTAACTTATTGCACCAGTAACAAATTGTGGGTCACTTGGTAAAGATAAAAATCATCATCCGTTAATGTAGCAGCTCATATATCCCTTCCCCAAGGTGTCTTAAATCATAGAAAAGATTTAGGGGAAATGCTGGCCCAAGGTTCTTATCTGCACTTTACTATGTAACTAAACATTGAACCCCTCTCACAGATTCAGAAAGAAAGCACACACAGATCATTCTTGAATGAAAAAGACAAAACAAGAAAATAGGACACTGGGTCATGCAGAAGTAAAGGAGAGATCCTTGGTTGTAGTCTATTGCATAAAAATAAACTACCTTTTGGAAGCATTTACTATGTGTCAGACACTGTGTTAGATGGACTTGCAATCTTTCTCTCATTTAACCCTTTGAGGCAAATTCAATAAACAATTATATGATTAATTTTCTGCATACCAGAAAAGAAGCAGAAGGGTATCCTTGTCTCCTTTCCTTCCACTTCACATTTTTCCCGTACATAATTTTTCCATGAATGAACAAATGAATAGATGTAAATAAGCTTTGAAGATTATTTCTTTCTTTGAGGTCGTGGCTGGCCTCAGAACTTGGAAAGTAAGAGTATTCTATCAATAGACACCAGGTACCCTTTACCACTAAAATAAACAATGAAATGAAATAAATGATAAAATTACTTATAATGTAAAGTTCAAATGGGCAAATATTTACTGAGTACATCACATGAGCCTGGCACTGTACTGGACAACATAAGGATGCTGGGGAAAAGCTGTTTAAGACGGAATTGTCTCTCTTTGTGGCCAAGTATGTCTCTCTCAGCTCCCCATGAGGCACCCAGCAGATATGTAAAGAAAGGAGGGAGAAATATTTTGGATATTGACAGTATGAGTTGTTATACCACTTCACAGAAAAAATGGAAATGAGGCATACTTAAAAGAGAAAGTTTGTGGGAAATGTAAAGTACATTTATGACTACAGTATTAATCAATTAAAATATGAATTAATACCTTCACTACAATAATTATGCCTTGCATTAGGAGAACATACTGGTGTTGAGAAATTTAAGTTTTATCTGAAAGATAAGGTAACTAAGGCACAATATCATAGACTCCAAGCCAAAACTAGAAATCAAATTGTATCCAAACATATTTGTCATAGTTATTCCCTTGAACAAAGCTTGTGTTACATACAGGGTGTGGAGAAAAAAGCTGAAGGAAAAATCAGTGTGTAAAGCCCAATTCTTGTGTAATAGTTCTTCATAAAAGAGTATTAAAATCAGTAACTATTTACTCGTCAATTTTCAAAAAATGACTAAGAGTCACAGCAAAAAAAAAAAAAGCCATAAATACTATTGGAAACTAGAAATAAGCTGAAAAAGTAGTAAAAACTATTCATGCTGAAAATCGTAGATAACATTTTTAAATTACTGTCAAAAGAATGAAAAAAATAAACATTTACCATGCACATACTTGTACCTTAAGCAGCATTTCTTCTCAGTGTTAATATCATGGCTCCGAGAAAGAAAAATCTTTGCACAGAGTCATCTCTACCCACATTTAGGCTAACACTTGGATGACACACCTCTCATTTTTATTGTCTTGTCGTCCTACTACCATATTTTGCCTAGTTGTAATTTTTGTTGATGTTTAAGTGATATTTTACACTTAATTGTCTCTTTTTTTATTGAACACGTTTTCACAGCTCTTCACATTCTTTGTGGGAAGAGATACACACACACCAGGCTGGAAGTTTCAGGCACAGATTTCTGATAGACTATCTAGGCATTCCAAAGTTCATCACTGGGCTAGTCTAGCATTTGAACAAATGAAATCACTATTAGAGTTATCATTGCTGACCTTTCAGTCTCAGGCACATAAGCAGAGTCCTCCATCTTCAAAACGTTTTTCAAAAAATAAAGCTTAATTGTTTTTAAAGGGGTCAAATACGTTACTAAATCTATGGGCAATTTTTTTCATTTGCATTTATTTATTTATTTTAGAGACAGGGTCTCACTCTGTTGCCCAGGCTGGAGTAGAGTAGCACAATCATAGCTCACTGTAATCCGGAACTCCTGGGCTTGAGCGATCCTCCTGCCTCAGCCTCCCAAGTAGCTAGGACTATAGACACGCAACACCAGGTCTGGCTAATTTCTTTTAAAATTTCTTGTAGAGACTCCCTATGTTTCCCAGGCTGGTCACAAATGCCTAGCCTCAAGCAATCCTCCTGCCTTGGCCTCCCAAAGCACTGGGTTTATAGGCATCAGCCACCAAGCCTGGTGGCAATTTTTCTTAAAGTATCTCACAAATATTAAATACATAAGCACACCAGAGCAAATCAGCCTTAAAATAAAGCCACAGGATGTAAAATAAACCAAAGTAATTATCTTCCCATAGACTATTAACCTCCTAAATGAATAGCCATTTCAAGACTACAGAAAATATGGAAAAGAAAAGGGCTTTGACCACTCACAAGATACCTCATGTTCAGAAAGAAGCAAAAAACATTTGGGTTTTTTTTTTTTCTTTGGTTTGAGGGTTTTGTTGTTGTTTGGATTTTTTGGTGTCTGGGTTTTGGTTTTGGGGTTTTTTGGTGATAAAAAAAATCTACATTTTTCATTTATCTCTAAGTCAGATTTTCATTTGTCCATTCAACAAGACTGAGCCAAATACTAGAGGAAAAGACACAAACAAAACACATTTTTAGTCCTCAGGGAGGTCACAGACAGGAAAGCGGAATCTCCACAACCTGGAAAGTTCTGGGTCCTAGGTATCAGTGCAGAAGGGAAGGGTGCAGGGGGACAGGTGCTAATCTACACTGGAATTAGGACAGGAACAGCTTCCTTGATCTGGGAGAAACGAGAAGCAGTCTGGCCATCTGGGGCACTGGGGAGGGGCAGTGCCTGTTGGGCCAGGAGTGAGGGCAGTGGAGCCTGTTTGTGCAGTGTCAGTTCAGGGAACTACAGCTGAAGAGGAAGATGGTGAAGGAGAGTGGCTGCTGGAGAAGAGGCTCAGAAGAATCTGTCGTAAATGGACTTTTGTTACAAGTTAAGGACTTTGGACTTCATGCTGCAGCTACTGGAGAAACATGGAGAGGTTTGAAGCAGAATGTGATATGATATGATATGATTACATTTTAGAATTACAAAAAAAATCACTCTGACTGAGGGAAATAGAAATGGCAGGTACTTCAGGAAATAATTCTAGGGGGGGGAAAAGAGACAGATATGGCAAGGCAGGATCAAGTTGGCCAACTGGGAGACATTTCCAGGGTGCTCTGTGCCAGCTGAGGGAATGAGTGAGATCTAAAATTCCACCTCTGCAGTCAGCTCTCTAAGCCCTCCATCCTGGTACAGGAAGTTTCCTCCTGCAGGAAGGGATATGTTTATCATCCCACAAAGGTGAACTTTGCTTCCTAAGCCCTGAACAAAGGGCTGTACTCATTTAAATGCAGGCTCTTTTTCTAATTTATAAACCCGCAGGGGGTGCCTTGTTCTAAAACACACAAAGACAGTGGTATAAGCTAGGGACCTTGAGTCTGCAATGATTCAAGTGAGAAATAAGGTCCTAAACTAAAGCAGGGAGGACACAAATGGAGAAGACACTTACAGTGGCTCTTCATTCACCAGACATTCTGAGAGTGTACTCAGTGCCAATCTCTGAGCATACACAGGGAGTCATAGATAAACTCTGCCCTGGGACAAGTGATAGAGTGATGTCGGAGGTGACAGAAACAAATGCATTTTCAAATGTCAAAATCTGATTTGTAATCTGCCTTTTCAACCTATTCCTGATCCTAATGTCACTGTCCTGGTTAATGTTTTTGTACTCCAGGACCTCAAAATCCAAGAATCAACTTTGAATCATCCTCGTTCCCAGTCATCAAGCTTTGTAGGCTAGCCCTGCAATGCAGTTTTTTCTTTCCTCCTCTTTGCCATTCCTATTGCTTCTAATCCAAACTCTTATTACTCCTCACTTGAGCTCCTGCAGTCAGCTCTCCAAGCCCTTCATCCTGGCACAGGTTTCCTCCTGCAGGAGTTCCAAGTTTTCCTTCCAAACTTATCTCCCTCTATTTTCTGATTATTTCTAATATTCACTCTGCCTCAAACACCCTTACCCTCCACCTCTGACTATCAAAACCCTACACGTTACACATTCCCCATGAAGGGCTGTCCTGTGAGGTAGTGAGCTTGCTGTGTTCTAGAAGTACTAAACAAAACCTTGAAGAAATTCTGTTCAGAGAATTCTAGCATTGAGTAGATTGTTGATAGGATCAGTGGCTCCCAAAGCCTAGTTTATCATCTGAATCACTAGGAGAACTTTTTAATGATTCTGACTCCTAATACCTTCACTCTAGAAATTCTGATTCCTTGGGTGTCTTAGTCTATTTTGTGTTGCTGTAAAGGAATACACAAGGCTGGGTAACTTGTAAGGAAAAAAAGGTTTATTTGGCTCACAATTCTGACGGCTGCAACATTCAAGGTTGAACATTTGCATCTTGTGAGGGCCTCATGGTGCTTCTACTCATAGTGGAAGGTAAAAGAGAGCTAGAGTGTGGAGATATCACATGGTAAGAGAGAAAGCAAGATACAAGAGAGAGGTGCCAGGCTCTCTTTAACAACCAGCTCTTGCAGGAACAAATACAGTGAGAACTCACTCACCCCAAAAGGAGGGCATTAATCTATTCATGAGAGACCTGCTTTCATGACCCAAACACTTCCCATTAGGCCCCACTTCCAACACTGGAGCTCAAATTTCAACATAAGGCTTGGAGGGGACAAACATCGAAACCATAGCAGTAGGTTTGGAGTGATGCCTTTTGAAGCCATATTTCTAAAATAGTCCATAAGAGCCAGACTTGTGAATCTCCCTAAACAACCACTGAAGGTCTCTTTCACCATTACTTTCTATGATAGGAAGCCTCACCCGGATTTCCCAGAAGAATGCAGCTGTTTTCACCTCTGTGTTGAGAGCATTTATTATGCTCTGTTTCATCTTGTAATTCTTTAAATCTATTTCACGGGGAGGAGGGAGGAGGTGGGGATGGTTAGTGGGTACAAAAAAAAAAAAAAGAAAGAATCAAAAGACCTACTATTTGGTAGCACAATAGGGTGACTATAGTCAATAATAACTTAATTGTATATTTTTAAATAAGTTAAAGAATGTAATTGGATTGCTTGTAACTCAAAGGATAAATGCTTGAGGGGATGGATATCCCATTCTCCATGATGGACTTATTTCACATTACATGCCTGTATCAAAATATCTTACATACCCCATAAATACATATACCTACTATGTATTCACAATTTTTTAATTAATTTAAAACTTTTTTAAATAAAAAATAAAATAAAAATAAAATTTCAAAAATATACATAAATAAATAAATCTATTTCAGTCTCCCCCATGATGCTGCAAGTTCCTGAGGTTAGGAGTCCTATATTGTACTCTCAGAGGGCCAAATTGAATTTGCCTGCAATAGAGCTGAAACACACTGTTCACAGGACCAGAAATAATGAGAGTCTAAACAATACTGAAAACAGCACTATTAAATACAGAAGTCTCCTGGTAGCTGGACTTTGATCTTAGAGGTGAAAGATTAGCAAACCTGAAATGTACACTTTTCATTGAAACCGGATGCACACCATTAGTTCAAATACAAATGTGAACTCCTGTGATGATATTCCATTTGGGTTTCAGACTCACTAGTCTCTCACTTGTCAACCCCTTTTGTTCTGATGCCAATTTTCCCTTTCATTCTTCATGTTGCTTAGTTTTGTTTTTTTTTAAATCTTGACCACTGGCAGTTATTTTAGGGCATGATGACAGATTCTAAAACTTAGTGGCACAAAACAGCTACTGAAATTTTTCTCTGAATGGAACTGTACCCATGATGTGCCACACCATTATAGAAAGCAAATATCTAGACAGACTTTTGACACACAAAAAATTACATTTTAAATTGCGTATTTAAAATATGTGTGCAACGACAAGAACATGTAAAAATCTATAAGTACATTTTTCAACTCACAATAGGATATAAGCAATTTTCTTTTTCAAAAAAATCAACTTTATTAAAATATAATTTTAGACAATAAATTGCATTATTTAAAGTGTACAATTAGATGAGCTTTCACAATTGTATACACTCACAAAACCACCAACACAATCAAGATAAACTTAATTCATCTTCAAAAGATAATTTTCTTTAAATAGAAATCATTCCAAAAGGAAATCTATACTGAATATATGAGACATTAATCCCCTCTTCTTTTCAGAATAAATCCAACTGAGTATAAATTAGAATTAGCATAAACCTATGTTTCTCAACTAAGGGTAGATTTGCCCCCTAGGGGTCATTTGAAAATATTTAGAGACATTTTTGTTTATCTGGATTGGGGGTAGGGTGCCACTAGTATCTAGTGGATAGAGGCTGGAGATGTTAATAAACATTCCACTCAGACAATACCTCACCGCCATCAACAACAAAGGACTATCAGCCTAAAATGTCAAGAGTGCTGAGGTGGAGAAACCCTGATGTGGATACATCCATGCTCATAATTGATTAGGAATGAGGCAATACAATATTCACTCTCTGAGTTTTTGCATATGTTTATTGTCCTGTCTGAAACACCTCTCCACTCCTCAGCAACCACCCTATGAAGCGGGTACTATTTTCTCCCCATTTTACAGTTGAGACGAACTGAGGCTTAGAGAGATGAACTAACTTGGCCAAGGTCACACACTTAGTACATGGCAGAGCTGGTATCCGAATCCAGCTTTGTTTACTCTGGAGCCTGTTCTTAAACTGTGTGTGATACTACTGATCTTTTTAAATGAAATATAAGTTCTGCATCTGGCCTAGATGCCCAGTAAAGTTTATCTAAGCAGATATTAATACACCAAATGCACACAGCTACTAATCCAGTAAGAAAAAAATAACTTCTTCCTGTCAATTCGATCAAGGGTGTTCAATCTTTTGGCTTCTCTGGCAACACTGGAAGAAGAAGAATTATCTTGGGCTACCATACAATACAATAACACTAATGATAGCTAATGAGCTAAAAAAAAGAATTGCAAAAATGTCTCATAATGTTTTAAGAAAGTTTATAAGTTTGTGTTGGGCTGCACTGAAAGCCGTCCTGGGCCACATGTGGACCACAGGCCACGGGTTGAACAAACTTAAATTAGATCTTTTCTTTTCAGATTATTGATGAATGGGAGTACATCTTCCATTTATTGTGTGCTTTCTCTGTGTCAGGCACAAAAGCTTTCTTTCATTCAATCCTCCTGCGAACACTCTGCCTGGTTATTACTAACACATCTTTAACACAAGGAACCAGAATCTCAGGGTAACCTAAGCACAACAGCATTGGGAGTTAAACCAAGATCATCTGGGTTTGCCTGCTTGTTTAACTGTACCAGACCACTCAATTGCTGGTGTTATGGCCTGAATGTTTGTGTTCCTGCAACCCCCGACCCCAAATTCATATGTTGAAGCCCTACCTCCAATGTGATTGTATTTGGAGATGGAGCCTTTGGAAAGTAGTCGAGTCATGAGGGCAGGGCCCTGGTCTGATGGAATTTAGGGCCTTTAGAAGAAAAGACACCAGAGACCTTGAGCCATCTCTCTCTCCACCAAGTGAGGACACAGCAAGAAGGTGGCCGTCTGCAAGCCAAGAAAAGAACCCTCACCAGAACCCAACCATGTTGGCACACTGATCCAGAGTTCCAGCCTCCAGAACTGTGAGAAAATAAATTATTGTTGTTTAAGCACCCACATTATGGGTGTCTTATGGCAGCCCAAGCAGACTAAGATGGCTGGAAATTATAAAATTGTACCAAAAGAGCATTGCTTCTTGAAGTTTCTCTAACTTCTTCTGTGATAACATGAATTTTATCCTCTGTGGTAACAAGAATTTTACCTATCATTCTCTATGATAACAAGAATTTTATCCTGTTACCTTCGATGTCCTTATAAGAATATTCTTAAATGTCTTTCCTATTTTGGAGCTAGAATAAAATAGTCTACGTAATACACTAAGCAGCATGTCTAGACAGAGTAGGCCTATGCAAATGTTATGGTGTTGCAAAACAAACAAACAAAAAACCTGTAAGCCTTTTTAGTGTTTATTGTTTCACTGACATATGTTGCATTAAACATCTCTTAAAGCTTTCTTCAGGTGCAATCAGCAATCATCAACATCTTTATCCCAATCATAGCATGAGACACTGAACCCCAGTAAGCTCTAGTTTTAAAATTGCCTCAAATCCTCAATGGGATTTACCTCTTGGGGTTGCTATAGGGTTTACATGGGACAATGTTTACACCCATTAGCACTGTCTTACAAATAGAAGGTGCACAATAATTGCGATAAGTGTGGTCTGTGGTCTGTGTCCACAAATGGCTGCATCCACGTCACTCAGGAGCTTGTTAGAAAAGCAGAATCCCAGGCCCCACCCCAGACCTATCAAATCAAAATCCAGATTTTAAAAAGATTTGCATCCACATGAAATTTGAAAAGCACTTAGTTAAATTATTAACAGAAAGAGTGAGTTCATAAAGACTCAGAAGACTAAGCGCAGATCCCTGACAAGACACTAGAAACTTCCTTCCATAACAACATCTTACATCTTAAAACATACATGAGTTTTGGCTGAGCCCCATCCCCACCCTAGGCATCAGCAGGGTAGGAATCCCCTTACATGGGCATCTACCCTCATCTATGCACCCAATTCATCCCCTTAATTCCCTTCTTTCTCCAGCCCAGGGATCTTTACACCATCAGGGGGCCAGAAAGCTTTCCACTTACTCATCGAACATTTTCTGCTCCCCTTTGGGACAGAGCTTTTGAAACTCTAAAGTCAAGAGAATCTTTTTTTCTGCTTTGTGCCACCACATTCCTTCCCCCAAAGGTAATGAACATAGGCAAGCTAACTAAATGGGGCCAGGAAATAAAAGGAAATAGCCAGGGAAAAAAATAAATTATTAATTTCAAAATAGTGCCCTGCCACATAAAGAACCAAATGAATGGTTCCTTATGATCAGAGACTGAGGGTGGATGGAGAGAAGTATAGCAATGAGCCATGATTTTCTCTCTCTCTCTTTTTGGAGGTAGTATTCCCTATCTCCACACTCATTACCACTGTATACAGTTTGTTCACCCCTTTCTGCCTCCTTAAGCTGTGCTCAGAAGTCTTTGGGGTATGTCCTTTCTGCAAATCTCACACATACACAAACACACACATGAAAAACAAACAAACAAACAAAAACCTCTTCAGCTTTCTACAAATTGGCTCAGGGAATTACTGTAGACCTTTCCTTCCTACTGTCTGCCATGTTCCCTGGTGTTTTCTGCTGTTCTTACCCTTATTCTTCCTATGTTGGCTCAAATTCGCCCTGGTTATATTTGGAAGAGATCTCAACTTTCTGCTTCATCACTGACCCAGAAGTCCCAAAGGATGTCCTTATAGGAATTGCCCAAGCTCCAGGTCCCAAAAATCCCTCTCCCCAGTGTTCAACCCTGTTTCTTACCACACCACCTCCCGTCTGCTCCGGACTCAGTTTGGGGAAGAATAATTACACTCTTCTCTTAGCACAGACCATAGTCTGCCCTGTGTCAGGGTTATGCATGTATGTGCTTGTCTCCCCTGGGTGGAGAAACTCCAAGACCCATTCATCTTCATATTCCCCTGCTTATTCCAGCACTAATCCATAGCTGTGCTCAACACATGAACAGAATAGACTGGATTGTGGGGTGAAGTTTTATTCAGAGTTCCTTCTTTCCTTCTGCCCCTTCAGCTCCCCACTGTTCTCTGATCCTACCTTGATTTTATTTTTGACACTCTGGGCAAAAGTCAGATCTGTATGCAAGTAAAAGCATTACTATTTCTAATTGAGCAAGTTATTTAGCTCCTATCTTTCATTTAGTCATCCACAAATGATAGATAAATAAATATAGGTAGAAGGCACACACCTTCTACCGTGCCTGATACATATTAGCATTCAATAATTGTTAGTTATCACTATTGTAGCTTAAAATTGACCATGATGAGAGTATTTATACCATGGAAATTGGTAAACATTATAAATTTTTTCAGAGAGCTGCTTTACCAGCAAATGACTAGGCTAGTGCCACATATCTAAATGATAATATTTTGGATCTATTATGGTAAATAAAACACTATTACAATTAATTTTATCTGTTTCTTTCAATTTTTTTGATATGACTGCTACAAAACAAAATTTTCTGAGACAAGGTCTCACTCTGTTGCCCAGGCTGGAGTGGCATAATCACGACTCACTGCAGCCTTGAACTCCTGGGCTTAAGCGTCCTCCCACCTCAGCCTCCTGAGTAGCTGGGACACAGGAACGTGCCACCATGTACAGCTAATTTTTTTTATTCTTTGTAGGGACAGGGTCTCCCTATGTTGCCCAGGCTGATCTTGAACTCCTGACCTCAAGCAATCCTCCCGCCTCAGCCTGCCAAAGTGTTGGGATTATAGGCGTGAACCACCATTCCCAGCTGAAATTTTTGAATTACCTTGTGATATTTGTATTGGACAGTGCTGGGCTAGATAGACCCTAACACACATGGTAGGATGATGCCGTCACACCTCTCAGTGTGGTTCCCCAGGTATTTCTAGGAATACCAGGGAGCACTCATATGCTCCACAAATTGGTCCAGGCTGATGCTTGTCACCTCTGTCAGCTGTTCTCTCTCTGAACTGTTGTTCTTCCTGAATCTTCAGGTCCCTCCCATGATCTAATCACTTTGATATTCCAGACTGACCTCTCTATTTGCTTGTTCCTATGTGCTGTGGGTTAGGTCCCCTCCACGGGTACTAGAAATGACTAGTCTCAGCACCCAAGAGCTCAGTACACCATTTCAAGGGCCACCGCCCACTTCCTCACAGCTTTCAGATGGCAGTGGGAAAGCCAACTCAGTGCCCATCAATGAAAAAATTCCCAAGACTCCTTATACTCAGAAGCCCCCTCTCCTTTCACACTCTCTCTTCAGTTACTATGACCCAGTCTTCCATCCCTGCCCCAGATATGAGGAACAAAATTCCCCTAAAATTTAAAAAAAAAAAATTCCCTACTTCTAACCCTTACATTACATCGAAGCTCCTCTATAATGTGTAAAATGTGGCATTTGGTTATTGCCAACTTAGCAAATATATATAAATTTTTTTTTCATTGATCTCTTAGTTACTGCTTAGAAAAATAAAAGACAGAAAAGTGTATTCATTTTCTTTTATTACTTGTATAGGAGATTGGTTAATACTAACAACTTATGTAAGCCATAAGAAACATAAAATATATGTAATAGATTACATACTAAACTGAGAAAGTCCCAAGTAACCACAAATTAGTCCCTTTCTAACCTCCTCACACCTTCCCACTCCCACCAAAAGAACTTTAGCTGCATCATTTCCCTTGGGAATAGGGTTGGGCAGAGGATGAGAGCCAATTGCCAATTGTATTATATTCAAATTCTTTTTTTTTCATGGAAAAACTGTCTTGTTTATTTGATTAAACAAAAATAAAATAAGCTTCATAGGAACAATTTTAAAGTCCAAAGAGACACCTACTTTGTTTTAAGGCTGTAGTAGCTGATACAGCATCTCCTTGCTACCTTCTCTAGCCTTCTCTGTGGACCACAGCAGTACATTCAGAAGCCTGCTAGCTAACACAGGAGTTTTTGAACACTTTTCCATTGGTTAAATTCTTTATCACTGCATAAGGGTGGTTATCTCGAGGTTTTTATTGACTTAAATATAATCCTCAAGAGACTAGTAAGAAATACTTGCTTGTAGACCATTTCACAACACCTGGTTTTCCCTGGAAATTAGTGACTATTTACCTTTAAAGATCATCTGTTTTGTTGGCTTGAATGTAGTGAAAAGGGGACACTTTTACACTGCTGGTGGGAATGTAAACTAGTAGAGATTCCGTAAAGAACTAAAAGTAGAACTACCATTTGATCCAACAATCTCACTACTGGGTATCTCCCCACAGGAAAAGAAGTCATTATATGAAAAAGACACTTGGACACACATGTTTATAGCAGCACAATTCACAACTGCAAAAATATGGAACCAGCTCAAATGCCCATCAATCAACAAGTGGATAAAGAAATTGTGATACACACACACACACACACACACACACACCATGCAATACTACTCAGCCATAAAAATGAATGAAATAATGGCATTTGCAGCAATCTGGATGAAATTAGAGGCCATTATTATAAGTGAACTAACCCAGGAATGGAAAACCAAACATTGTATGTTCTTGCTCATAAGTGGGAGCTAAGCTTTGAGGATGCAATGGCATAAGAATGATACAATGGACTTTGAGGACTCAAGGGAAATGGTGGGAGGGGCTGAGGGATAAAAGACTAAACATTGGGTACAGCGTACACTGCTCGGGTGATGGGTGCACCAAAGTCTCAGAAATTGCCACTACAGAACTTATCCATGTAACCAAACAAAACCTGTTCCCCAAAAACCTATTAAAATAAAAAAAAATTGTAAAGACTAAAAAAAAAATCTATTCACCTTCCCAAAACAAAGGGATTTTATTCAAAGTGGTTTCTTTGCAGTAGAAACTCAGCAACCTTCAAATATCGTTCTCTTGATGAAAATAAAGTTTTTTTTAAAAAAAAGCAAAATTTCTTCTGCTACTCTGAGCCCCCAGATAAAACTGAATTGGATCTCAGGGCTCAGAATATTTCTCTTAGCAAAAACTCAAGGAGCAGTTAAAAGATAAAGGAAATTAACCTGTTTTAAACATAGGTAGGTACTGCACACAAGCTTTGAATTTTGCTTACTTTGCTCATTTGCACATTTTTTCATTACTAAAAACTATTTATTCAGTTCCTCCTAAAGAGCAAATACAGTGCCTACTCTCTTAGAGTTTATATTCCTGTTGGAGAAAATAGACAATAACTGTATGCACAGAAAAATGAATAATCTTAGTGTTATGGACTGAATATTTATGTTCTCCAAAAATTCATATGTGGAAGCCTTAATCCCCAATGTGATGGTATTTGGAGGCTTTGGTATGTAATTAGGTCATGAGGGTGGGGGTGCCATGATGAACTTAGTGCCCTTACTAGAAAAGACACAAGAAAGATGATCCCTCTGCCATGTGAGGATACAGCAAGAAGGTGGCTATCTACAAATCTGGACGAAGGCCCTCACCAGACAATGAATCTTCTGGCACCTTGATATTGAACTTCCTAGTTCTCCAGAACTATGAAATATAAATGTTGTTTAAGCCACCCAAACTATAGGATTCTGTTATAGCTGCCTGAACTGACGAAGACAATTAAAAAGTGGTTAAATGCTGTGACCCACATACTCACACTCACCAAAAAAAATAAAATAAACAAACCCAAAACCCACAGAGTAATGAAATAGACAGGGACAAGAAGGGGCATCACTTTGATTGGGCCATCAAAGGCCTCTCTGTGGAGATGATAGTGGAGCAAAGCCTTCACATGGGTCAGTCAGGGAAAGAGCTAGGGGAAGGAAGAACATTCTAGGCAGTAGGGCTGGTATTGGTAAGTCTGAAAGCCTAAGACAAAAACAACTTTGGCATGCCTGAAGAAAAGAAAGTGGCTACAGCAGAGTAAAGCAGGTGTGAGGACAACTAAGTAATAGGCCATAGCATTAACAAGTAGGCAGGGGCTAGACTGAATGGAGCCTTTGGATCATGAATTTTACGGAAAGCCATTGGAAGGTTTCAATTAGGAGAGTGATTTCAGATTCATGTTTTTAAAAGCCAGTTGGCTTTTGCGTGGCAAAACAGACCACAATGGAATAGGAGTTAAAGCAGAGAGATGAGTTAAAGGACTCTCAGATAAGATGTAAAGTGGCCCAGATAAGATGTAAAGTGCCTTGACTTCTAGGCCATGGCAAAAGAGGGTGACGAATTATCAGATCTGGGATATACTTTGGAGGCAGAGCAATAAGACTTACTGGATTAGATACGGTAAGTAATGGAAATTAAGGCATCAACGATAACTTGTACATCATTGGGCTGAGTAACTGTGTGGTGGTGCCATTGACTGAGATTAAGGGGAAGACCAAAGAGGAGCAGATAGGGAGAGGCAGTTTGCAAATGAAGAGCTCAGTTTTGCACAGCTCCTCATATAAGCACCACAATAATTATCCAAGAGTCATTTTCTTTTACTCATTTTATAGACAAGGAAACTAAAGCACAGAGAGGTTATGCAACTTGGCCTTGGTCACTTGGCTAACTCATTTTATGTGATATTTTTCTTTACACAGTAGCATAGAGGTTAAGGTTGCTGAATCCTAATCCTAGGGCCACTATTTACTAGTTGTATGACCCTTGAGCAAGTCACTTAATTTCTCTAAACCTTGATTTTTCTCCTCTTAAAGTTGGAAGTTTTCTTGTCAAGGCTTTATGTAAGGGTTAAGTGAGGCAAAGCAGGCAATGTGCATGGCATAGCATACAATAAGTGTTCAATAAATATTAGCTATTCTTATAGTCAGTCATCTCCAAAGCTACAGTAGCATTATAATCCTGGATTTACTCCAACTAAAAGAACTCATCAAGGAGGTATATTTTCTCCCTCCAATAGATCACCAGTGTGTGGTCCTTGTCTTACTTCTTATTATTTTGACTACAGATCAGAATGAAAACCTTGGTCTCCTATAATGGGTACTCTCCCATGGGTGGGTGGGTAGGGAGTACTAAATGAAACCTAAAATAAAGCCTGACTAAGTAAAGGAAACATTTGAGGCAAAAGACAAGATATGAAAACTTCACCAAAACGGTCTGAAATGACAAAGGGAAAAAGTCCCAACCTTAATCAGGGAAAGTTAGTTGCATCAATAAAGAAAAATAACCACACACGATACAATCAGGCAATTGAGATCTTGATACTGGAAGGCCAAAGGTTGGGAGTATTCAAGAGCATTTCCCCAAGACTGACCTCAGAGGAAGGACTGGTTTAAAATTAGCAAGATTTAGAGGTTTTAGGTTAAATGCATACAAATTTCCTTCCCTGGGCCCTCATAGGTGCAGCAGCCTCTTCCATCAAGCAAAGTACATCCTAACATATGAATACCTTTGTGATATGGTCTCTCCTCTGTCACAGTACATACTTTGGCAAGAATGAACTACAATGAAAAATGAGTGCCCACTAAGGTTGGAAGGAGGGTGATCCTTCTGATTAGTCACCATAATGGTGTCTTTTTAATAGCTATTAAAGGTGAAATGAAAATATGATCGTTAAAACTGGTACAAAAAGCTATCAGAGGAAGTGGGGTAAAAGCAAGACCATGGTGAGACATGTAGAAATGAATCATCAAATTGTAATGCCTCTTTTCAGTAATATAGGGCCCACTCTTACCCCAGACAAAGGCCCATCCTTGACAAGGCTTTCTCCAGTTCAAGCAGGGCTACACCTCTGGGTGGAGTCTCTGGTTCCTGCAGTCTGGGGAGACAGTCTAATGTAATGGTTAAGAGCAAGAGCTTTGGAGACAGGCTGGCTGAATCTGAATCCCAGCTTGCCTCAAGCTTTTCAGCCATAATGGAAGAATTATGGAAGTAACTGGGCAAATTATCTAACTTTTTTAAGCCTTAATTTTCTTATTAATAAATGTGGGAAAGAGTGTAATGACTGTAACTAGTACCTCAATTCACAGGGTTGCTGTGAGAGGATGAGATAATGCATGTAAAGTACCTGGCATACAGCTTTTAACAAGCATTTACACTTGTTATATTATTATCTGGAGTTTCATTCTGGCTGGACCAGGGTTTCTTTCTGGTAGCAATGAACATTTCCTTAAAATTCTCAGTCACAACTTTGTTCCATTTCAATTCATTTCTATTGCTTACCACCACTCTAGAAAAGAATATTTATTGAGTACCTAAGTCCACCCGCCCCCCCAAAAAAAATAAGCTAAAGAAAATAGTGAGGGAAACCATTGCATAAAGTCCCAAGAATAAAAATAGAGGGAAAAGACAATCAGGTAAAGGTGGATTTCAGAAGTTCACTGGAAGAGACGAATCAGTGAAGAGGGCCAAGAAAGACCAACTCTAGTTCTATTCAAATGCCTACGAAGGTTAGGATAACTTTTAATGTCATAAAGAGTTGGAACTTTTCCTTGTGTATTACTTTGTTGCCCTGTCTTCCTTTTCCTAGACATATCTTAGAAACCTACACAACCAGAAAAAGAGTGTATTGTTTTGTACAATTCAAACGAGTAGGAAAGAAGGGGGTGGGGGAAACTCTATCACGCCTCGTATCTTGTTCCAGCAAGAGCTCCAGGCAAAGGAGAGAAACCCCAGGGGAAAGAATGGGTGGTGGCCGAAAGCAGAACGTGGGACAGTTAATCCTGGGGACCCCCAGATGATGAAGAAGACATACACCCGGGGGGTTGCCTAGGGGATGCCTGTCAACTCAGCAGTAACGCTGCAAGGACATGCTCTAGCCCAAAGCCCCCAGGTGATTTCCTCCTCAGAAAAGGAAGCCTAGGATCACACCAGACCCACTAGACTAGAGAGTAAAAGGCCCTAAGCAGCACTAGGGTAATTTATTGTCCAAACATAGGACATTTTCAGAAAGGGAAGATCATAACAAAGCTGTGCCAACAGGTTACATCAGAACTATCCAGACATCCTAGTAAGTGTCCATTGCCCTATTCCATGCACAAACACAAAACTAGAAGACTAGATGTACGCTCAGGAATAAAGAAATAAACGAGTGTGGGTAAGTGATGAGGAAGGAAACAAACATTTTCTAAAAGCACTCACTGGTACTCCAGCCCTGTGTGGAATACTGTATATTCATGATCTAATTTAATCCCTGCAGAGTGGGAATTAGAAGGGAAGTGATGCAGCTGGAATGTGAACACTCATGACTGTCTGAAACGAAAACACTTATTTTTTTATGCCTCATGCTACCATCCTGGTCCCAGCACTCAACCCCTCATTGGTAGGCCGTAATTATGGTACTGCTCTTATTGAGGGCTTTGAAAACTCTTGCTGAGCACTGCATGTGGTAACTCATTAAACTGTCAGAAACATGCAACGCAGTAAGGAAAATCAGGTTCAGAGAGGTTAAGTAACTTCCCTGAGGTTAGACACTAGTAAGCAGTGGTTAGACACTGAGTAAGACAAACTCAGGTCTGTCTGGCTACACAGCCAGTGCTCCCACTCCCTAAGCTATAGTGAAGAGTAATGCAATTAAACTGGGGGCATGGGAGTAGGCTTGCAATGCTACACAGCATGAGCAGATGAAGAGAGAGCATGGCCACAGAATCACACTTTCTACCCAAACCTTAGCTCCAGTCAAGCCTGTCCTCCCTCCACCTAGACCCTCTGTCCACCATGTTTTTTGCCACACCTTTGCAATTAATTGACTACACCATTCTCCCATCTGGTAATCATCTCCCCTTCCTCTCTGCAATCCAAAATAGGCTTTATTTCTGCCACAGTGCTTTTTTATTAGTGTAGTTCTGTTTCCTGCCTGTCCTGGCTATAATTTTTCTTGGTATAGAGACTTTAACCAACTTTCAGAACTGTGTCTCATACTCCCCTTGTTATCCACAGCAACCAGGAAGTGAAGGTTATGTGGTAAGAAAGAGGTTGGTTAAATACTACTGGATTAGTTTGAATGTTTACAGAAGACCTTCTCCAGGCACCCTAACACTAAAAGAGGAATTACCCAGGAGAAAGGGAAGTCACACTTTCTCACTCATCCTTATCTTCTCTAAGTCTTTCCTGACTTCTAAACATCACCAATTCTCAATTTTCATAGGTTATGGTGGAATGGAAAAGTCATTGAAAATGGAAAATCATAAATAATCCACAAATTTTCATTTGATCATTAACTTTCTTCTCCTCATTTTGGGACAAACTTTTTAAATGACCCCTTTCTCTACACGTGTGTATGCTTGGCTTTGCCCTTGGTCCAGAATTTTTTGCAATGCACCAAAATTTACTAAACACTATCTTTCATAAGAAAAGGGACTAAAGTGTTTCTCTTGACCAACACTATTTTCAGTACCTGGCATATGTCGGTGTTTTAAGTATTCTCTGAATGAATTAGGCCCAAATGACAGATGACTATCTCAGCAAATGCTAGGTTAGACAGATAATACTGAGGACTAGCTTCCCTTAATAATTCCTGGATGCTATGTAAAGCCCCAGAACTTAGGTGCAACCAGAGTAAAAAGAGGAACCATGAATTGAAATTAAATTGCTATATCTCAGACCAAAATACATGATGGTGAAAAACAGAAATAGAAAGACAAAAATTAGGTTGGTTAAAATTCTTGAACACAGAGACTGTGGATGGAGAATCATACCAACTACAGATATGAAGGAGAAATAAGAATTTTTCTAATCATCCTACTAGAAAATATAAAACAGGCTATTAAGCACCTCATAACCTAGTAAACTCTCACTGTGTTTTATTCATTTTTAAAAATAAATTCATTTTATCTGAATTTATAAAATGTGAGTATTGATATGTGATCTCTTTTAAGTTAAAGAATGAATCAGGTATTTATTTGGGTAGGCATAATTTATCAGACCTAATTATATGTACATCATCCTTCATGTTTTTTCAGACTATGATCACACAATAATTTTTTGCATAAATGTTTATGAAACAGATTATCAGTTTTCCCCCAAAATCCATTCTCCCCTTATTCTTAGGCCCTTTGTCATCCAGCTAGAGACATTTCCCAGATTTACTGGCAGTTGGGTATGGCCACATGATTTATATCTCTCCAGTGGAATGTGGGGGGATGTGATATGTACACACCTTCTATCTTACTTGTTCAAAAGGAAATTGCTTGCCCTGGGCTTTCTCTCTTTTCCCTTTTTTTGTACTAAAACATGAATATGCCATATGATCCAGCTTTGACTATGCAAATGAGCATCTCTCCCTATGAGAAATTAGAGATATAGGGAATGTGGACCCATGATTGACCTCAAAGAGCTAGATGGTTACATGAGATATAAACTTCTTTCATCTTTAAATCACTGTATTTGGGTGTCACTTTTTCAGCACCTTAGCTTTTCCCATAATTAATACAGTTAGAGAGACAATTAAAGATTCATCAGTTTTCTCAAGGGCTCTCTTAATCTTTATGTTTCAAAATCATTCTCCTTTGAGTCATCTAGTCATGCTATCATCTCGACTAATTCACTCTTCTTCAGCTGTTAACTGAACTGACTCTGCCAGAGACTCCTTTTTCAAAAGCTTTAAGTGCAATTTAAGTATTTCTCTAATTTTACTTTCACTGAATTTTTGATATCTTGACTCTCTTACAAGATTTGCAGCTTTACTTATTACTTAATTTACTTTGCATTCAAATGTTTACAATCATGGATATAGAGAAAAGGGGAAGTATGCTTATATGAGAACTAATTTCATTATTAGCCAGTTCATTAATGAATATTTTATATTGTGAGAACTTTTGCTTCCCTTTATGACCTAACTGCAAGGACTTGGATAATACAACTTAAGTTCTCATGATACTTGAGAAAAATTCAAGAGGTGTTCAGGAAATGGAACATCTAGTCTATTCTTTTGTTTTTTTTTTTTTTCAGGAATACTTAACAAGCTTTAAATTTCATAAATATTTTTACCCTTCTCTCAAACACTATAAAGACATTAGAATGTTTAAATCTAATTAATGCCACTCCCTGAATTTAGATATTTTAGCTGCATAGTATTTTGGTTCTATCTTATTTTGATTTTTTCCACCAATTAAGCATTATAATTATTGTTATTTTATATTGTCAGTGTTTACTTATATTTGATTATATATTTGATCACCATTTCTTCTTGCATCTCAGACTTTCCATTCATCCTCAAATCCCTGAGAAGACTGGTCTAGTTATAAATTATCACGGTAGGGGCGGTTCCAAGTTGGCCAAATAGGAACAGCTCCAGTCTACAGCTCCCAGCATGAGTGATGCAGAAGACAGGTGATTTCTGCATTTCCAACTGAGGTACTGGGTTTATCTCACTGGGGCTTGTCAGACAGTGGGTGCAGCACAGTGGGTGCAGAGCAGTGGGTGCAGCCCAGCAAACGTGAGCCAAAGCAGGGCGAGGCATCGCCTCACCCGGGAAGCACAAGGGGTCAGGGAATTTCCTTTCCTACCCAAGGGAAGCTGTGACAGATGGCACCTGGAAAATCGGGTCACTCCCACCCTAATACTGTGCTTTTCCAATGGTCTTAGCAAACGGCACACCAGGAGATTATATCCCACGCATGGCTTGGAGGGTCCCACCCCCACAGAGCCTTGCTAATTACTAGCACAGCAGTCTGAGATCAAACTGCAAGGTGGCAGCGAGGCTGGGGGAGGGGCGCCCACCATTGCTTAGGCTTGAGTAGGTAAACAAAGTGACTGGGAAGCTCAAACTGGGTGGAGACCACTGCAGCTCAAGGAGGCCTGCCTGCATCTGTAGACTCCACCTCTGGGGGCGGGGCATAGCCAAACAGGAGGCAGCAGAAACCTCTGCAGAATTAAATGTCCCTGTTTGAAGAGGAGTAGTGGTTGTTCCAGCATGGAGTTTGAGATCTGAGAACAGATAGACTGCCTCCTCAAGTGGGTCCCTGACCCATGAGTAGCCTAACTGGGAGGCACCCCCGAGTAGGAGCAGACTGGCACCTCACACAGCTGGGTACCCCTCTGAGACAAAGCTTCCAGAGGAATGATCAGGCAGCAACATTTGCTGTTCAGCAATATTCGCTGTTCTGCAGCCTCTGCTGGTGATACCCAGGCAAAGAGGGTCTGGAGTGGACCTCCAGCAAACTCCAACAGACCTGCAGCTGAGGGTCCTGACTGTTAGAAAGAAAACTAACAAACAGAAAGGACATCCACACCAAAACCCCATCTATACGTCACCATCATCAAAGACCAAAGGTAGATAAAACCACAGAGATGGGGACAAAACAGAACAGAAAAGCTGAAAATTCTAAAAATCAGAGCGCCTCTCCCCCCTCCAAAGGAACACAGCTCCTCGCCAGCAATGGAACAAAGCTGGACGGAGAATGACTTTGACAAGTTGAGAGAAGAAGGCTTCAGATGATCAAATTTCTCCGAGCTAAAGGAGGAATTTTGAACCCATCGCAAAGAAGCTTAAAAACCTTGAAAAAAGATTAGATGAATGGCAAACTAGAATAACCAGTGTAGAGAAATCCTTAAATGACCTGATGGAGCTAAAAACCATGGCAAAGAAACTAAGTGACGAATGTGCAAGCTTCAGTAGCTGATTCAATCAACTGGAAGAAAGGGGATCAGTGATTGAAGATCAAATGAATGAAATGAAGCAGGAAGAGAAGTTTAGAGAAAAAAGAGTAAAAAGAAATGAACAAGGACTCCAAGAAATATGGGACTATGTGAAGAGACCAAATCTATGTCTGACTGGTGTACCTGAAAGTGACGGGGAGAATGGAACCAAGTTGGGAAACACTCTGCAGAATATTATCCAGGAGAAATTCCCACACCTAGCAAGGCAGACCAACAATCAAATTCAGGAAATACAGAGAACACCGCAAAGATACTCCTCAAGAAGAGCAACCCTAAGACACATAATTGTCAGATTCACCAAGGTTGAAATGAAGGAAAAAATGTTAAGGGCAGCAAGACAAAGAAAGGTCAAGTTACCCACAAAGGGAAGCCCATCAGACTAACAGCGGATCTCTCAGCAGAAACAATACAAGCCAGAAGAGAGTGGGGGCCAATATTCAACATTCTTAAAGAAAGGAATTTTCAACCCAGAATTTCATATCCAGCCAAACTAAGCTTCATAAGTGAAGGAGAAATAAAATCCTTTACAGACAAGCAAGTGCTGAGAGATTTTGTCAGAACCAGGCCTGCCCGAAAAGAGCTCCTGAAGGAAGCACTAAACATGGAAAGGAACAACCAGTACCAGACACTGCAAAAACATGCCAAATTGTAAAGACCATCGATGCTAGGAAGAAATCACATCAACTAATGAGCAAAATAACCAGCTAACATCATAGTGACAGGATCAAATCCACACATAACAATATTAACCTTAAATGTAAATGGGCTAAATGCTCCAATTAAAAGACACAGACTGGCAAATTGGATAAAGAGTCAAGACCCATCAGTGTGCTGTATTCAGGAGACCCATCTCACATGCAGAGACACACATAGGTTCAAAATAAAGGGATGGAGGAAGATCTACCAAGCAAATGGAAAACAAAAAAAGGCAGGGGTTGCAATCCTAGTCTCTGATACAACAGACTTTAAACCGACAAAGATCAAAAGAGACAAAGAAGGCCATTGCATAATGGTAAAGGGATCAATTCAACAAGAAGAGCTAACTATCTTAAATATATATGCACCCAATACAGGACCACCCAGATTCATAAAGCAAGTCCTTAGAGACCTACAAAGAGACTTAGACTCCCAAACAATAATAATGGGAGACGTTAACACCCCACTGTCAACATTAGACAGGTCAACAAGACAGAAAGTTGACAAGGATATCCACGAATTGAAATCAGCTCTGCACCAAGAAGACCCAATAGACATCTACAGAACTCTCCACCCCAAATCAACAGAATGCACATTCTTCTCAGCACCACACCACACTTATTCCAAAATTGACCACGTAGTTGGAAGTAAAGCACTCCTCAGCAAATGTAAAAGAACAGAAATTATAACAGTCTCTCAGACCACAGTGCAATCAAATTAGAACTCAGGATTAAGAAACTCACTCAAAACAGCTCAACTACATGTAAACTGAACAACCTGCTCCTGAATGACTACTGGGTACATAACAAAATGAAGGCAGAAATAAAGATGTTCTTTGAAACCAATGAGAACAAAGACACAACATACCAGAATCTCTGGGACACATTCAAAGCAGTGTGTAGAGGGAAATTTATAGCACTAAATGCTCACAAGAGAAAGCAGGAAAGATCTAAAATTGACACCCTAACATCACAATTAAAAGAACTAGAGAAGCAAGAGCAAACACATTCAAAAGCTAGCAGAAGACAAGAAATAACTAAGATCAGAGCAGCATTGAAGGAGATAGAGACACAACACCCTTCAAAAAAATCAATGAATCTAGGAGCTGGTTTTTTGAAAAGATCAACAAAATTGACAGACCACTAGCAAGACTAATAAAGAAGAAAAGAGAGAAGAATCAAATAGACACAATAAAAAATGATAAAGGGGACATCACCACCAATCCCACAGAAATACAAACTACCTTCAGAGAATACTATAAAATACCTAAATACTAGACACCTCTACGCAAATAAACTAGAAAATCTAGAAGAAATGGATAAATTCCTGGACACATACACCCTCCAAAGACTAAACCAGGAAGAAGTTGAATCCCTGAATGGACCTATAACAGGCTCTGAAATTGAGGCAATAATCAATAGCCTACCAACCAAAAAAAGCCCAGCACCAGATGGATTCACAGCTGAATTCTACCAGAGGTACAAGGATGAGCTGGTACCATTCCTTCTAAAACTATTCCAGTCAATAGAAAAAGAGGGAATCCTCCCTAACTCACTTTATGAGGCCAGCATCATCCTGATACCAAAGCTTGGCAGAGACACAACAAAAAAAGAGAATTTTAGACCAATATCCCTGATGAACATCGATGCAGAAATCCTCAGTAAATTACTGGCAAACCGAATCCAGCAGCATATCAAAGAGCTTATCCACCATGATCAAGTGGGCTTCACCCCTGGGATGCAAGGCTGGTTCAACATACACAAATCAATAAACATATTCCAGCATATAAACAGAACCAAAGGCAAAAACCACATGATTATCTCAATAGATGCAGAAAAGGCCTTTGACAAAATTCAATAGCCCTTCATGCTAAAAACTCTCAATAAATTAGGTATTGATGGAATGTATCTCAAAATAATAATAGCTATTTATGACAAACCCACAGTCAATATCATACTGAATGGGCAAAAACTGGAAGCATTTCCTTTGAAAAGTGGCACAAGACAGGGATGCCCTCTCTCACCACTCCTATTCAACGTAGTGTTGGAAGTCCTGGCTTGGGCAATAAGGCAGGACAAATAAATAAAAGGAATTTTATTTATTTGGAATATTTATTAGGAAAAGAGGAAGTCAAATTGTCCCTCTTTGCCGATGACATGATTGTATATTTAGAAAACCCCATCATCTCAGCCCAAAATCTACTTAGGCTGATAAGCAAATTCAGCAAAGTCTCAGGACACAATATCAATGTACAAAAATCACAAGCATTCTTATACACCAATAACAGACAATCAGAGAGCCAAATCATGAGTGAACTCCCATTCACAATTGCTTCAAAGAGAATAAAATAAAGTACTTTATAGTGTGATGCCTCCAGCTTTGTTCTTTTGGCTTAGGATTGACTGGGCGATGTGGGCTCTTTTTTGGTTCCATATGAACTTTAAAGTAGTTTTTTCCAATTCTGTGAAGAAAGTCATTGGTAGCTTGATGGGGATGGCATTGAATCTATAAATTACCCTGGGCAGTATGGCCATTTTCATGATATTAATTCTTCCTATCCATGAGGATGGAATGTTCTTCCGTTTGCTTGTGTCCTCTTTTACTTCGTTGAGCAGTGGTTTGTAGTTCTCCTAGAAGAGGTCCTTCGTGTCCCTTGTAAGTTGGATTCCTAGGTATTTTATTCTCTTTGAAGCAATTGTGAATGGGAGTTCACTCATGATTTGGCTCTCTGATTGTCTGTTATTGGTGTATAAGAATGCTTGTGATTTTTGTACATTGATTTTGTATCCTGAGACTTTGCTGAAGTTGGTTATCAGCTTAAGTAGATTTTGGGCTGAGACAATGGGATTTTCTAAATATACAATCATGTCATCTGCAAACAGGGACAATTTGACTTCCTCTTTTCCTAATTGAATACCCTTTATTTCTTTCTCCTGCCTGATTGCCCAAGCCAGAATTTCCAACACCATGTTGAATAGCAGTGGTGAGAGAGGGCATCCCTGTCTTGTGCCAGTTTTCAAAGGGAATGCTTCCAGTTTTTGCCCATTCAGTATGATATTGGCTGTGGGTTTGCCATAGATAGCTATTATTATTTTGAGATACGTTCCATCAATACCTAATTTATTGAGAGTTTTTAGCATGAAGGGCTGTTGGATTTTGTCGAAGGCCTTTTCTGCATCTATTGAGATAATCATGTGGTTTTTGTCTTTGGTTCTGTTTATATGCTGGATTACATTTATTGATTTGTGTATGTTGAACCAGCCTTGCATCCCAGGGATGAGGCCCACTTGATCATGGTGGATAAGCTCTTTGTTGTGCTGCTGGATTTGTTTTGCCAGTATTTTATTGAGGATTTTTGCATCAATGTTCATCAGGGATATTGGTCTAAAATTTCCAACTGAGGAACACAGCTCCTCACCAGCAATGGAACAAAGCTGGACGGAGAATGACTTTGACGAGTTGAGAGAAGAAGGCTTCAGATGATCAAACTTCTCCGAGCTAAAGGAAGATGTTCGAACCCATTGCAAAGAAGCTAAAAACCTTGAGAAAAAGATTGGACAAATGGCTAACTGAATAACCAGTGTAGAGAAGACCTTAAATGACCTGATGGAGGTGAAAACCATGGCACGAGAACTACATGACACATGCACAAGCTTCAGTAGCTGATTCGATCAACTGGAAGAAAGGCGATCAGTGACTAAAGATCAAATGAATGAAATGAAGCAAGAAGAGAAGTTTAGAGAAAAAACAGTAAAAAGAAATGAACAAAGCCTCCAAGAAATATGGGACTATGTGAAAAGACCAAATCTACGTCTGATTGGTGTACCTGAAAGTGACTGGGAGAATGGAACCAAGTTGGAAAACACTCTTCAGGATATTATCCAGGAGAACTTCCCCAACCTAGCAAGGCAGGCCAACATTCAAATTCGGGAAATACAGAGAATGCCACAAAGATACTCCTCGAGAAAAGCAACTCCAAGACACATAATTGTCAGATTCACCAAAGCTAAAATCTATACCTTGCAGGAATAAAGGTTACCTTGCAGATTCTCAAAGATGTATAATCAGGCAAATGATGCATTCAATTGTAAGTTTTAGTGTTCCCTTTATTTTGAGTGTTTTTATTCACATAAGTTGCAACTTTATTGCTCAGGGAAATAGTCGCTGAATTAAAATCAATGAAAAATTCGAAAGACTATTTCTTTTTTTGAGTCTTGGCTGAAACTAGATCCCTTCCTTACACCTTATAAAAAAATTAATTCAAGATGGATTAAAGACTTACATGTTAGACCTAAAACCATAAAAACCCTAGAAGAAAACCTAGGCAATACCATTCAGGACATAGGCATGGGCAAGGACTTCATGTCTAAAACACTAAAAGCAATGGCAACAAAAGCCAAAATTGACAAATGGGATCTAATTAAACTAAAGAGCTTCTGCACAGCAAAAGAAACCACCATCAGAGTGAACAGGCAACCTACAGAATGGGAGAAAATTTTTGCAATCTACTCATCTGACAAAGGGCTAATATCCAGAATCTACAAAGAACTCAAACAAATTTACAAGAGAAAATCAAACAACCCCATCAAAAAGTTGGCGAAGGATATGAACAGAAACTTCTCAAAAGAAGACATTTATGCAGCCAACAGGCACATGAAAAAATGCTCATCATCACTGGCCATCAGAGAAGTGCAAATCAAAACCACAATGAGATACGATCTCACACCAGTTAGGATGGTGATCATTAAAAAGGCAGGAAACAACAGGTGCTGGAGAGGGTGTGGAGAAATAGGAACACTCTTACACTGTTGGTGGGACTGTAAACTAGTTCAACCATTGTGGAAGACATTGTGATTCCTCAAGGATCTAGAATTAGAAATACCATTTTACCCAGCCATCCCATTACTGGGTATATACCCAAAGGATTATAAATCATGCTGCTATAAGGACACATGCACATGTATGTTTATTGCAGCACTATTCACAATAGCAAAGACTTGGAACCAACCCAAATGTCCATCAGTGATAGAGTGGATTAAGAAAATGTGGCACATATACCCCATGGAATACTATGCAGCCATAAAAAAGGATGAGTTAGTGTCCTTTGTAGGACATGGATGAAGCTGGAAACCATCATTCTCAGGAAACTATCGCAAGGACAGAAAACCAAACACTGCATGTTCTCACTCATAGGTGGGAATTGAACAATGAGAACACTTGGACACAGGAAGGGGAACATCACACACCGGGGCCTGTCGTGGGGTGGAGGGAGTGGGGAGGGATAGCATTAGGAGATATACCCAATGTAAACGACGAGTTAATGGGTGCAGCACACCAACATGGCACATGTGTACATATGTAACAAACCTGCACGTTGTGTGCACGTGGACCCTAGAACTTAAAGTATAATAATAATAATTTAAAAAAAGAAAAGCTAAGATCTATATCTTGCAGGAATAAAGGTTACCTTGCAGATTCCCAAAGACCTATAATCAGGCAAATGACACATTCAATTGTAAGTTTTAGTGTTCCCTTTATTTTGAGTGTTTTTATTCAAATAAGTTGCAACTTTATTGTTCAGAGAAGTCACTGAATTAAAATCAATGAAAAATTCGAAAGACTGTTTCTCTTTTTGAGTCTTGGCTCTCCTTTTGATGCAGGATTTTTTGCTCTTTAGTTCAGCTAAAATCTGGTTCTTGTGTCACAACCAGGAAAAATTAGGTACGTGGACACATTGAAAGGTGGAGAGAGCAGAATTAAAAGAAAGCTCTCAGAGAAAAAAGGGGGACCTTTCAACAGGCTTCCACCTCACAGATTGAATACCAGGCCACCACACATGAGCTGAAAAGGCCAGGCTTCTCCCCAATTTATAAGGCGTGGATTCCAGGTGGGTCCACCCCATTGTCCCAGTGCACAGGTGGGCCCTTAGTCTGAGCCACTCCATATTGATTTATTTCCCTTACTATGCATGTGTTCAGGGACAGAATGTCTTTGAACTTGACACATGAGTTGTAATGCACAGTAAAGTAGGAAAACCCAAGGAGCTTGTCTACACATACTACGCATGTGTTAAGGGACAGAATTTTTCACTGTGGGCATGTTTAGATAAGCTCAATGTGCACAATGGCCTGGGCAGCATTTGGCTGTCTCCTTCTCTATCACTTTTATGAGGTGTATAACCTTTTAAAAAATGTGTAAAACTTATTTTTATTTTACTGTATTGTGGCAAGAACACAACGTGAGATCTCAACAAATTTTTAAGTGTACAATAAATTATTGTTGACTATAAGTACCATGTCGTTCAGCAGATCTCTAGAGCTTATTCATCTTGCTGGACTTAATGCCTGTTGATTACTAACCCTCCATATTTCCTTCCACTCCATTTATTTTATTTGTTAAAATCATTTCCCTTCAAATTATTTTTTATTTTTAATTGTGGCAAAATATAATAAAATTCACCAACTTAAAAAAATATATAGAATCATTTGTTGGGACTGGTAGGTGCTATTGATGCATATATTTTTCTGCTGAAAAGCCATTCCTTTCCTAAGTAATTTAAATTCAGATCACAAACTAATTACAAGCCATGAGAGTCAATAATCTGACTAACCATCCATCCCCAGCACCTATGTGTTTTAGTTACTTTTGAATATTTCTACCAGTAGTCTCCTCATCTTAGCTTCAACACTCAATGGTCAGGGTTTATCACCTTTCTACAGAATCAATTCCATCTATAGATTACTCTAGGAAACACCTTCCTTGCAATGTCTTCAAATCCAGCTTCTGATCCTTGGTTCCATTATATTTGTAAGTTAAGTGCCTAGGAATTCCAAGGCACAGTGTTTTCTGGGGCTTCCTGTAAAGCAAGCACCAGTTATTTCAAAAAAAAAAAAAAAACAGGAGATAGTGCAGGGTTTGGTGATAAAATAAGGGGTAGAAGAGTTAGAAAAAAAGATGTTAAGAAATGTTTTGCATGTATACCCCCATGTTTATTGTAGCAACCCCATGTTTATTGTTTAGTCACAATAGCCAAAATATGGAATCAATCTAGGTCTCCAACAGCAGATGAATGGATGGAGAAAATATGGTATATATACACACTGGGCTATTATCTAGCCATAAAACCAATAAAATCCTGCCATTCACAGCACCATGGATGGAACAGGAGGACATAATATTAAGTGAAACTAGCCAGGAACAAAAAACTAAACACCAGATATTTTTACCCATATGTGGAAGCTAAAAAAAAGTTGATCTCACAGGAGTACAAAATAGAATGAATGGAGGATATTAGAGACTGGGAAGGGTAGGAGGAAAAGGGAATTAGGAAGAGGTTTGATATCACTTGGATGCAAGGTTCATTCAACATACATGATATGGTTGGGTTGTGTCCCCCCACCAAAATCTCACCTTGAATTGTAATAATCCCCACATGTCAAGGGTAGAGCCAGATGGAGATAATTGAATCATAGGGGTGATTTCCCCCATATTGTTCTCATGGTAGTAAATAAGTCTCATGAGAGTTGATGGTTTTATAAACGGGAGTTGTCTTGCACAAGCTGTCTTGCCTGCTGTCATGTAATATGTGCCTTTCTTTCTCCTTTGCTTTCCACCATGACTGTGAGACTGCCCCAGCCATGTGGAATTGTGCGTCCATTAAACCTCTCTTTTATAAATTATCCAGTCTCTGGTGTGTCTTTATTAGCAGCGTGAGAACAGACTAATACAATATGCAAATCAATAAATGTGAATCATCACATAAACAGAACTAAAGACAAAAACTACATGATTATCTCAATAGATGAAGAAAAGGCTTTTGATAAAATTCAACGTCCAAGGAACATACTTTAAAATAATAGGAGCCAGGCCAGAGCAATCAGGCAAGAGAAAGAAACAAAAGGCATGCAAATAGGAAGAGAGGAAGTCAAACTATCCATGCTTGCAGATGACATGATTCTATATCTAGAAAATCCCATAGTCTCAGCCCAAAAGCTCCCTGGGCTGAAAAGCAAGTTCAGCAAAGTTTTGGTATACAAAATCAATGTACAAAAATCAGTAGCATTCTTATACACTAATAGCATCCAAGCCAAGAGTCAACTCAGGAATGCAATCCCATTCACAATTGCCACAAAAAGGATAAAATGCCTAGTAATACAGCTAATCAGGGAAGTGAAAGAGCTGTACAACGAAAATTACAAAACTCTGCTCAAAGAAATCAGAAATGACACAAACAAATGTAAGAATATTTCATGCTCATTGATAGGAAGAATCAATATCATTAAAATGGCCATACTGCCCAAAGCAATTTACAGATTCAATGCTATTCCTATCAAACTACCAATGACATTCTTCACTGAACTAGAAAAAACTATCCTAAAATTCATATGGAACCAAAAATGAGCCAGAATAGCCAAGGCAATCCTAAACAAAAAGAACAAAGCTAGGGTAATCACATTGCCCAACTTCAAACTGTACTACAAGGCTACAGTAACCGAAACAGCATGGTACTGGTATAAAAACAGACACATAGAACAATGGAACAGAATAGACAGCCCAGAAATAAAGCTACACACCTACAACCATCTGATCTTTGACAAAGGTGACAAAAACAAGCAATGGTAAAAGGATTTCCTATTCAATAAATGGTGCTGGGAAAACAGCCTAGCCATATGCAGAAGATTGAAAATCTCCTTACACCATATCGAAAAATCAACTCAAGATAAATTAAAGACCTAAATGCAAAACTTAAAAATTTAAAAACCCTCGAAGATAACCTAGGTGATACCATGCTGGACATAGAAAATGGCAAAGATTTCACAACAAAAATGCCAAAAGCAATTGCAATAAAGCAAAAATTGGCAAATGGGACCCTAAAGAAGCTCTTGAACTAACAAGCTTCTTCACAACAAAAGAAACTGTCAGAGTAAACAGGCAACCTACAGAATGGGAGATAAATATCTGCAAACTCTACATCTGACAAATGTCTAATATCCAGAATGTACAAGAAACTTAAACAAACATACAAGCAAAAACACTACCCCTTTAAAAAGTGGGCAAAGGACATGAACAGACACTTTTCAAAAGAAGACATACATGCGGCCAACAAACATGAAAAATACTCAATATTACTAATCATTAGGGAAATAAAAATCAAAACCACAGTGAGATCCCATGTTACACCAGTCAGAATGGCTATTACTAAAAAGTCAAAAAATAACAGATGCTCATGAGGTAGTAGAGAAAAGGGAACACTTATACACTGCTGGTGGGAGTGTAGATTAGTTCAGTCATTGTGGAGTGAACTCAGTTTTCTCACCTGAAAATGCAGGGAGAAGTTTTAGAGGCCAAAAAAAGGGTATTAGATGAGCCCTAAGACCTCAGGGGGATAGAGAACAAAATAATTGGCTTTGGCATCATTCTAATTCAAACTCCAATTCTGCCACTTTGTGTGTATGATGTTCTGTCACTGAGAACATGTTAAGCTTCCCTGAGCCTGTTATCTCCAAGATGTTGATGGTGATTGCTACCTCACTGAACTACTGTATAATTAAATGAAGTTTCAAATATCCATTCTTGGCACTCAAGAAATGCAACTTTCCCTTTCTTCCTTCTTTCAGTAATCCACTCCAGTATTCAACACGTCCAATTCACATCAGAGTTATGCCTGCCCTCCAGAGCAGGAACAAAAATCTGCTGGCCCAAGGATCCATTAATAACTGCTGACACCCCAAATTAATAGCATCAATTTTGAACTTTCAGAAGGAAGCAAATAAGCCATGGTGGGAGGACAGTTAAGAAAAACTCCCTCTATATTTGGGTTTTGCTCTCTCAGTCTTTCAGGGTAACCAAGACCCAGTTAAACGCAGGGCATAGGAATCTTAATTCTTCTCTCAACTGAAATCATCTGTCCACCCATAGTGTCACAACAAATAAGGCATCTGATATTTATGAAAAGTTTTCAATATGTTCTGTCACTTTTTTCCCCCTAACTTCATTCTTGCAAAGATCCTCCAGGGCAGGTAGAGCAGATCCTGTTATCCTCATCTAACAGAAGAGATGTCTGTGATCAAGCAGCTTGGAACGGAGCTGAAAGAAAGGTGCAGGTCTCTTGTCTTGCACTCCAAGTTTCTTTCTGCATATCATGATGTCCTCAGTGTCTATTTGTCCTCACTGGGAGGAGTCCAAAGTGGCAATAAGAGAATTGGCTCAGTGGGACCGGGCACAGTGGCTCACACCTATAATCCCAGCACTTTGGGAGGCTGAAGTAGGCGAATCACTTGAGTCCAGGAGTTCGAGACTAGCCTGGCCAACATGATGAAATCTCATCTCTACTAAAACCACAAACAATTAGCCAGGTTTGGTAGCAAATACCTGTAATCCCAGCTACTTGGAAGGCTGAGGCAGGAGAATCACTTGAACTGGGAGGTGTAGGCTGCAGTAAGCAGACATCACGCCACTGTACTCCAGCCTGGGTGACAGAGCACGACTCTGTCTCAAAAAAAGAAAAGAAAAAAAGAGAATGGGCTCAGTGGTTGAGTCAAACTCCAAAAGTCAGTTTCCTACTACCTGGCCCCCACATTCAACAACTAGCTTCCTTCCTTCTTTCTTTCCTTCCTCATTCCTTCCTCCCTACCTTTTTTATTTCTTAAGAATAAGTACACAGAATTGAGTTAAATAAAACCCCACTTTGTGGCACACTATCATTATCAGTCAAGGTAGGGCCTCTTGTTGGCTGTATCTTACTTTATTATATTTTCATCTTTATTTCCCATCTACAATCCCACTTCCCTTTTCCCCTCCATAGACATTCTCTTTCCAATACACCTTTCAAACATCTACTTAGAGATATTTTTAAAATATATGGCATGTTTCATGTTGGAGTTTCAATTTAAATAAAAGCAATTAAATCTAAGTGCTATCCTGTTTCTCAAGTTATTTGTATTCAATATTATATTTCTGAGGTCTATCCATGTTGCTAAATGTAAACTTAAATTATTATTTTTAACTGATACTGAGAATCTGATCATACAATCACACTTTATATATTGCCTTGGCAATCAGTGGTCATCTAGTTTGCTTCCAATTCTTTGCTATCACAATTACCACTTGGCTGAATACCCTCATAAACATTTCCTTGATGACTTCACTGGGATATATTATGAGTAACAAAGGTGCTAGTCATGAGTACAAGTATGCTTAATTTCAAAAATTATGTCAGGGTGCACTGCAGAATAGCTGTACCTGTTCACACTGTCCCCAGCAGAGCATGAGGAACCCAGTCCCCTATCCTCACCAGCACTTGATATTATCTGACTTTCTCATGTTTGCCAAATGATGAGTGTAAAGTAGTATTGTTATTTTGAACAGCATTTCCTTGATTACTATTAAGATTTAGCATCTCTTTAGTATTTACTAACCATCAGGATTTCTCTTTCTGCCAATTGTCTAGCCACAACATTTACCTATTTTTTCTATTGAATTTACTATGTTTTCTTGATTTGTAGGAGTTTCTTTTACCTTCTAGCCATCTATCTCTTCTAGATTTAGACCTCACTATGACACACATACTTCCTATTTCTACAAAAGTCAAGAAAAAACTTTGTTGGGAAAGTGAAATAGAATGGAGCCTAGTCTTACCAGGAACCTCTCCCCAACCCCAACACATTCCAGAGACTATTAATGTAGTTTCAGAAGATCAGTTTACACCCAGTGAAGATACTGAGCTGCCTGTTAAACCAATTTCCTTATTCTCTGTCCTCTGCCACATTTCAATAATGTTACTGGAACTCCCTAGAAAAATCCTGTGACCCCCCTGATCTGAATATATATTGACTTCTTTTCCTTTTGCATGAAGAAGACGGTGCCTGCAGTTCTTAGCAAGGGACTACGAGCATCCATTTGTCTTTTATCCAGAGGATAGACCATACATTTGGAAAGTAAGCATGTGTTCTGATTACTCTCTATCCACAGCATTAGTAAAAGAGAAAGTCTGCACTACTCTCTATTCACAGCATTAGTAAAGGAGAAAGTCTGCAGCTTATAAAGAGTACAGGATGGCTGAGCACATGATGTCTGAAACTGCCCAGATAAGATTGGCAACAGTTTATTAGTCACATATACTTACAGGCTGAGGGAATGAATATACCCATGCCATGAGGGACCACACAGGGACAACAGAGTGAGCCAGCAGAGGCTATGGGAGGCAGGCTTAGAAGTGACAAGAGAATGGGGTGACCCTTGTTTCCTGTGGGAGGATGTGATTTGCTTGCTTGAATAATTTCATGGGCTGCAGGAAGGTGAAACCCATTAGGTGGAAGACGAGGTAGGGTGAAGCTGGTCTGGCTGATACGGGAACTGCCCAAGTGGATAGCCTTTTGCATTGCGTGAGACTCTGTTAAGAGCAGATGACATCTGACAAGAGTAGGGGAACTTACAGCCAGGCCTTTGGGGGCCTGCAAGTCTCGAAGATGTCAAAGAAGCACTTGGAATTTTAGGTCTTACAATATGTAATGCTTAGAGTTTCACAATGAGAAGTCTGTTTTTTCTACTAATCATACTTGCTTGACTTGAAATATATGGAAGAAAAATGTGCCCCTCCCAGCCTGAAGAGGGAGATTAGAGTGTTATAAGTGGATAGCACTCCAGGCCACAGTATTTTCCCGAGGATAAAGTTAGAGTGGCCAAAATACTCACTCTCCTTTTAAAATGATCATCTGGTTATGACAGAAGTATTCCTGCTTTTTAATCCACCCTCCAAACACCAAGAAACTGAGCCAGTATGGGGGCCCCGAACCATTCAGCTATTTAGAGACTCCCTTCTTTAGGCAGGACAGAGGAAACAGAAAATAACAGGATATTGCTTGACAATTAGTTTTATAGGAAATAGAGAACAGAATTCTTTGGCTACTAGTAGGTTCATTTTGCTTTGAGTAAAAGAATTAGAGTAGCACTGAGATCAGAGAAGGAATTCATTCTCCTGTGGTGGGCAGAATAATGACCTATGAGTATGTCACCTCACATGGTCAAGGGATTTTGCAAGCATGATTAAATTAAGGAACTTTAAAGATTAGGGGGGATTATCCAGGTGGACCCAATCAAATCACGTGAGTCCCTAAAAGCAGAGGACCTTTCCAGAAGTAGATGTGACAATGGGCAAATAGTCAGAGAGAGATGGAGTGATGTGGTTTTTGAAGATGGAGGGAGGAACCATGAGCCACTGAACATGAGCAGGCTGTAGAGACTGGCAAAGGCAGGGAAGCAGAGTGTCCCCTGCAGTCTACCAAAGGAGTGCAGCCCTGCTGTGAGACTCATGTACTTCCAATCTACAAAACTGTAAAATAATAAATGTTTGTTGTTTAAAGCCACTAATTTTGTGGTACTTTGTTATATTAGAAAGCTAAGACACATCCCTAATTTTGAAACAGTTTCTATAAGCTTTATGAAATTAACCAGGTAAGAAGTTGGTGGGTGGGGGGGGGGGGGGAGCACAAAAATAAACCAAGCTTGTGGCACATTCCACATTAATCATGAGGTCAACTTTCTCTCTGACCTCCTTGCTCATAGTTGCTTAATGCCTATTGCCCCAGGATCAAATAGACCTCTCACAAGATGGTAGTTCCCCTTAACTACTCTATAGACAACAACTTAAGCACTGTGAATTGTTAAGTTCCATTTGAGATATTCTTCCACGTCCTACACATCAATAAAACTACTGATCCAGCTGATCTGAAGGACCCAACAGAAGCCAACTCACCAAAGAATGCAGTTTCCACAGCCTGATTATTTCATCCCCCTTATCCCAACCAATCAATAATCCCATTTTCCAGCCCCTTACCCTCCACAGTCCTCTTAAGAGCTTCAGCCCAGAACTCCTTGGGCAAGTGGATTTGCGGGTCTCTTCCCATCTCCTCACTCACCACCCTGTGATTATTAAATTCTTTCTCTACTGCAAACCCTGCTGTCTCAGTGTAATTGGTCTGTTACTATGCAGTGGATACATGAACCTGTTGGTCCAATTTTGGCAAGAATAAAAATAGGCATCTAGCTATCCCCAAAACAAAACATGAAAAAGCTAGTCACAACTTCCACCTGGCAAAAACCTTAGCTCTTCCACTTTTATATCATCACCCCCTGCCATATGTCCTCTCCACTATCTGCTCATGCCTACTGATCAACACACAGTGGTGGCATCTCTGCTTCTTCTCTCTTTTGATCCTGAGTCCCAGGATACACTAAAACCTGCCCATTCTTCTCATATCCCTGTCTTCCCCATATCATGGGTTTGTGGTGAGGCTATTCTGCAGTCCCCTCTTTTATGTCTCTGCTTTCAGTTTTGTCCCCATCTACTTCACAACCATTTTAATCATTGCTCTGTCACCTTAGAGTAGGCTAGGAAATGTGTATCTTGATACATTATTGCAAGGAGTTTTCAAGAACAGGGAGCAGCTTCTTGCAATTTCCAAGTTCACTAAGCTTTTTAGCAGCCCCTTCATAGCCACGTTTTCTTCTCCTGATCTTGTAAATACTTGCATATTGATGAATCAATATTAAACATTCAAAGAGTGAAGTTTACATAAACTCTGAAAACAATGCATTTGACAGAATAAAATTAAGTCTATCGTTTTGGGAGTTACAAGACTAGAATCAAATAACAACATTCCAAATGAAATAGATTATGTATTATGTCTTAGGGCTGAGTCCCATGTCTGGTATGACATGGTAGAAATGAGGGAAGTGTCAGCTAGACAGTGCAACAGTTCCTAAATACAGCTAATTACATTTAAGCAAAAGCTTTGAGCTAGAGATGACTATTAAAACATAAACCCGGCCGGGCGCGGTGGCTCACGCCTGTAATCCCAGCACTTTGGGAGGCCGAGGTGGGCGGATCACGAGGTCAGGAGATCGAGACCATCCCGGCTAAAACGGTGAAACCCCGTCTCTACTAAAAATACAAAAAATTAGCCGGGCGTAGTGGCGGGCGCCTGTAGTCCCAGCTACTTGGGAGGCTGAGGCAGGAGAATGGCGTGAACCCGGGAGGTGGAGCTTGCAGTGAGCCGAGATCCCGCCACTGCACTCCAGCCTGGGCGACAGAGCGAGACTCTGTCTCAAAAAAAAACAAAAAACAAAAAAAACAAAAAAAAAACATAAACCCTCGAATTAAAAAAAATTGGGGGTAGCACATGGAGTTTTCCATTATGTTCACAGCCGCGCAAATGACCTTTGGATATGCATACACAATAAGTTACTTTGTACTATGTAGCTTAGCATAATCTGAATAACTTTTTGCAGATTGTGTGCTTGTGCATGTTTGTGTGTGTGTCTATAAGAAATGCATGCTTATAGAGTGTGTTACTTCTCAGTTGTTTCTATGTAATTGGATCTTTTCTTTCCCATTCTATTTTAGAAGGACATTGATAGATAAACCTGATGCGATCTTAATTTTATCTAATGTGGTCTTAACTTTATCTATATGATGACTAGTATGAGCTATACTAGATCAGTAGTTTTCAAACTAAATTTTTCACTTCTACAGAAGAGAAAAGGAAACAAGTGAACATGACTTAGAGGGTACCACCACACCTTCAATCAAAGCAGCTTCCTTTTAGTTGTTTTCTCTTTGATTTTGGCATATTCCACTTCAAAATAGCAAAAAGTAGACATTACCTTCTTTTAAAAATGTTTTAAAACCACTGGACTAGGTGATCAATAAAGATACTCATCTGTGGTTTTATAGATAAAAAATATTTTGCTGTTGCTGATACTATATTTATTATTTTTCTTGAATATTTAATTTCTCATTGAGACAATATTTGCTTTTATAGAGATTATTCCAGGTTCCCTTGCTTTCGTCCTCATTCAGAATATTCAGTTACTACAAGCAAAATGACAAGCTCTTTATTTGCTTTGTTTCGTTTTGTGTGTCCCTTTTAACTGACACATAATAACTATACATATTTATGGGGTACAGCGTGATGTTTCCATACATGTATACATTGCATAATGATTACTCAGGGTATTTAGCTTATCCATTACTGCATATGTTTATCATCTATTTGTGGTGAGGAAATTCAAAATCCTCTCTTCTAGCTATTTTGAAATATACAATATTGTTAACCATAGTCACCCTACTGTGCAATAGAGCATCAGAACCTATTCCTTCTATCTAACTGTAACTTTTTACCTGTTGACCAAAATCTCCCTAAGACCCCCTTTCTTCTCCCCTTCCCCTCTGCTGACCAATATTTTACTCTGTACTTCTATGAGATCTACTTTTTTAGATTCCGCATATGAGTGAGATTATGTGGTATCTGTCTTTCTGTGCCTGGTTTATTCCACTTAACATGTCTTCCAGGTTCATCCATGTTGCCATGAATGATAGAATTTTATTCATTTTGTTGCTGAATAGTATTCCATTGAGTTTTTGTACTACATTTTTTTTACCCATTCATCCACCAATGGACATTTAGGTTGATTTCATATCTTGGCTGTTGTGAATAGTGTTGCAATAAACATGGGAATTTCAAATACTGACTACATTTCCATTGGATATATGCTGAGTAGGGGAATTGCTGGATCTTATTTAGGGTAGTCCTATTTTTAATTTGAGAAACATCTATACTTTTTTTTATTTCACTTTAAGTTCTGGGATACATGTGCAGAATGTGCAGGTTTGTTACATAGGTGTTGGTGGTTTGCTGCACCTATTAACTGGTCACCTTGGTTTTAAGCCCCATATGCATTAGGTATTTTTCCTAATGTTCTCCATCCCCTTGCCCCCAACTCCCCAACAGGTTCCAGTGTGTGTCATTCCCCTCCCTGTGTCCATGTGTTCTCATTGTTCAACCATTTGACCCAGCAATTCCATTACTGGGTATATACTCAAAGGATTATAAATCATTCTACTATAAAGACACATGCACACATATATTTATTGCAGCTATTTACCATAGCAAAGACTTGGAACCAACCTAAATGCCCATCAATGATAGACTGGATAAACAAAGTGTGACACATATACACCTCTATACTATTTTCAAACTGACAGGTTTTTAACAAGAACTTCCTAAGAAATGCTGAACATAAATTTGCTGAATATGTTCAGCAATAGTGCTGATGAGTGAAATATTTTTACCCATTTATTAGCACACATACTAAAGTACTAGATGTAAAGATCTTTTTTTCCTCTCAGATCTTAATTGCCACTTATGATAAAGTATGTGCAAAAAATAATAATGCAACCTTGCAACCTCTATTCCTTCCTGGTCCCACACACACCACCACCAAAACAACCTATCAGTGTTAGTCTCTCTGGGTCTTCTGTCCTCCAGATATTCTCTCTTTTGCTTTTCAAACATTCCCAAGTCTAAGACAAGAACTTGCCAAACTTGGCAGTATCTCTACTTTGCCTATAAGGGCTAGATCTTCATTTCTATACCTTTTTTTCCTATTTCTATAGTGCCTCCTTCTTTTCCCAGGGAATCTAATGCCTTAAATATTGTCTCCTCTCCTCCCCTACCAAACCTTGTCTCAGAAAAAGATGAATAAACTCTATCAAAGTTTATATTGGCAATAAAGCAAAATGTGTCCTCCTACTCAGGGATGGGTGCCCTTTTAAGAGGGGATTCTGACCAATTAGTACTATCTGTATGGGCTGTCTCTGGAGGTAAGGAGTTCCCTGTCACTGAGTATCACTGCAACTAGCACTGGATAACCCTTAACATAAAAAATGAAAAAGAGAAGTTAAAGCATAGAAGGGTGAGTTAGACTAGATACGGTGTGAGATTTCCTCCAAACCTGTGGCTCCATGGAAAAGCAGAATACAGAGTATGTTCTGAAGGAGGAGGGAGAGAAAAGATACATCTGAGCTGAGTTTTAGTGAGTTTTTTTTAAAGATTAAGAGGAAAAATTATAAATTCTAGGGGGAACTGGGCCTACCCAAGATTCTCAACTGAGGGCATTGAGCAGAAAGGAGAGAAACTTAAACCTCAGCCAGTTGAAAATAGTGGCCACTGAATTCATCTTTTCTCTATTTCATAGTTTTACCTAGAGCTAAACAAAGTTTCGGTTATCTCTGACCCAGTTTGGCATTTTTTATTTTTTTTGTTTTTTAAAATCATCAAAACAAGGAAAAGATGGTAGAGATTAAAATGCTACATGTCTACATGTCTTCAGTGATGTAGGAAAGTATAAGTTTATTTGAAAACTTGATCCTACTTGTCATTCAAATGATTAACTAATTAAAAAGCTATTTAATTTGTCCCTACTATGTGCCAAGCTTCGTGATACATTTATGAATAGTTGGATATGGTCTCTGCCATCTCTGAGTTTATAAGCCAGCAGAAATGATAAGACTTTTAAACAAGAATTTATAATAAAGTGAACAAGTGTTACATTAAAGAAGTTCAAAGCCCTTGTAGCCTCATAGCTTACTTAATGAAGAAGAATAGAAAGTGTCCAGGAGAAATGAATATTTAAGCTGATGAACAGGACTTGAGGGGTGAGTGTTCTAGATAGATAGAACAGCATATGAAAAGTTCCAGGCCAGGCGCAGTGGCTCGCACCTGTAATCCCAGCACTTTGGGAGGCCGAGGCATGTGGATCACGAGGTCAGGAGATTGAGACCATCCTGGCTAACACTTCGAAATCCCGTCTCTATGAAAAATGCAAAAAAAATTAGCTGGGCCTGGTGGCACACGTCTGTAGTCTCATCTACCCAGGAGGTTGAGGCAGGAGAATTGCTTGAACCTGGGAGGCGGAGGTTACAGTGAGCCAGATTGCACCACTGCACTCCAGCCTAAACAACAGAGTGAGACTCTGTCAAAAAAAAACAAAGGAAGAAAGAAAGAAGGAAAGAAAGAAGGAAGGAAGGAAGGAAAGAAAGAAGGAAAGAGGGAGAAAGAAAGAGAGGAGAAAGAGAGAGGGAGAAAGAAAGAAAAAGAAAGAAGGAAGGAAGGAAGGAAAGAAAGAAAGAAAGAAAGAGAAAGAAGGAAGGAAGGAGAAAAGAAAAGAAAATTTCACGAAAGAAAGAACAAAGGAAGAAAGAAAAGAAAAAAGAAGTTTCACATGGGAGAGAGACCTTTTCAAGATGCCAAAGAAAATTAATCATGGTGGGATTATAAGTGGGTAGAGAAAAGACAAGAGAGGCAGGCGGGAGCCAGACACATGAAATATCTTGTAAGTCATGTTACAAATTTGGAGCTTATGGTAACAGCAATGGAAAGCTGCCAAAGTATGCTGAGCATACTCCCTGTTCGTCAGTGCACCTGAGAAGCCATTCGATAGCTAACTATCCTATATATACGGCATCTAGTGGCTAAATTGAGCTCTTTATTTTAATCTACTTGATTATTTTTTATTTGTTCTATGAAAACTTTTAAAGGTTTTCATTAATGGGATTTTAAGTAAGAACATGACATAATAATTTAAGTTTTAGAAGTTTTACTTTGACAACAACATGAATAAAAGATGAATGAGTAGCCAACTAAAGGAAAGAAGGTAAGAAAGGTAAATACGCAGGTTGGGGAAACAGTGGATGATCTTTTAGGAAGTAGAGTCGACAAGACTTAATTAAGTAGAAGGGAGGGATAGGGAGAAGACCAGAGTTAAGGATGAGTTTCTGGCTGGGACAACTGAATTCATGACAGGACCATTCTTCAAGGTGGAAAATACTAGAGAGTGAGCAGGTTTGCAGAGGCAGAAAGAGGTAAGCTCAGTTTTGAACATATCAAAATTGAGATACATTTTAAAGCAACAAGAGGACTTGTGAATGCCGAAAAGTTGACCTAGATATCAGGGAAAAGATCTTTGTTAGTCTCTGAGGACATCTCTCATATTAACAAAATGCAAGCTTGAGGGAACTATCCAAAAATAAAACTGTCCATTCAATTTCTACAATATCATAGCAAGGGAAAGCTATACTCTTAGTGTCTCTTAGAAAGCTACACTCTGGTAGAGCTAAGTGTTCTGTTCCTTGTGATGTCATTCTTTTAGCAGTGCCACACCCAGTACACCACAGGGTGGGAGGACACAAGAAAAGGGCAAAACTCAGCTGGGCTGTGAAGTCAGTGGGTGGACCTGGGCAGGGCACTCATGACTTCTGGAAAATAGCCTAAGTCTACCTAATTCCCAAGCACACAGTATATTAACAGTTCATGTGCCAGGACACCACAGCTTCCTGCCTTTAGCAGCAAGACTACACTCAGTACCAACACTTAGTATTAAATCTGCCTAAAGCCTTAGTAAAAATGGAGATAATAATAGTACCTGCTTCACAGAGTTCGTGAGCAGGAAGAGATAATGCATCATTAACACGAACCATAGTTCTTGACACACAGTCAACACTTAATAAATATTGGGTGATACTGGCAGTATCGATGGTAGTCATACTGATAACTCATAAGAATAATATGTTCTATTTCCCCCCATGGCACATGTTTACCTATGTAACAAACCTGCACATTCTGCAAATGTACCTCTGAACTTAAAATAAAAAAAAAAGTTCCTGAACCTCTTAAATCTTCAAATGTGTACTTTTCCAAAGAAAATTTAGTGCTGAGCATACTCCCTGTTCGTCAGTGCACCTGAGAAGCCATTCGATAGCTAACTATCCTATATATACGGCATCTAGTGACTAAATTGAGATCTTTATTTTAATCTACTTGTTTATTTTTATTTGTTCTATGAAAACTTTTAAAGGTTTTCATTAATTTTACCATTTAACACATTAATAAAATGTAGGTGAATTCTTAGTTTAACTTATAATTTAGCTCATCACCCTGAAACAAATTTCAATAAATTGAACAGATTATACTGAAAGAGAATATAGAAATAGAGGTTAAGAGACAGAAAATCATGTCTTATATGTACAAAGCTACCAGCCATACTGTCTTATTCATTTCAGTATCTCCAGTTTCATTTTTTGTTTTTTTGTTTTTTTTTTTTTTGAGACGGAGTCTCGCTCTGTCACCCGGGCTGGAGTGCAGTGGCGCCATCTTGGCTCACTGCAAGCTCCGCCTCCCGGGTTCACGCCATTCTCCTGCCTCAGCCTCCCGAGTAGCTGGGACTACAGGCGACTGCCACCACGCCCGGCTAAGTTTTTGTATTTTTAGTAGAGACGGGGTTTCACCATGTTAGCCAGGATGGTCTCGATCTTCTGACCTCGTGATCCGCCCACCTCGGCCTCCCAAAGTGCTGGGATTACAGGCGTGAGCCACCGCGCCCGGCCTCTCCAGTTTCTTAACACAGATCTCAATAAATATTTTTTGGAGGATTGAAGGGAGAGAAGTAGTATGAGATCTGGGGCTTTTAAGATCAAATGTCTATTGAGAGACTAAACTCCTTAGGAATCTCACCAGAAATAATATAACTAATATAATAGGAAGACTAAAATTATGCATAGGTGGCCTGACAATGTTTCTCAAAATGTAGTCCCCACATCAGCACCATCCATGTCACCTGGGAACTTGTTAGATATGCAAATTCTGAGGCCCCACCTAAGACCTATTGAATCAGAAACTGGGGATGGGGCTAAGCAGTCTGTCTTAAGCCCTACAGGTGATTCTGATGAACACTTAGGTTTGGAAACGTTTGAAAATGAAGGCACAAATACAGTCCATAGATACTATAAAGCCGCCAGGTGTTTAATATGGCAAAAACTAGGCAGATGTGTGCATTTGGTCAAAATAAAAACAGCTTTGCTCCCAGAATTCTACCTTTGCCTGGCATACTTCACACCATTTAACTGCAGGTTCTGTACAGGCATCTAAATTTTCACTTCTTGTTAATTGCCCAAGAAAGAAATCTGAAAAGAAATCTTGTTACAGAAAAAATTGAAGGGAAATTGAATTAATCTTTGAGCCCCTTGATAGCAGAGACTGATCTTGTTCATTATTGAACCCCCATTTTCTATGACAGTGCCTAGCACATAGTACTCAATACCTATTTGGTGAATAGATGAGGCAATCTCACATGTGGGAAGGGCTGACCAAGGTGGGCCCTCAAGATGTCTGAAAGGGGCCAGGGGGAGGGTATGTGAGGAAGACATGGTTTCAGTCCCAGTTCTAGCCCTTGCAGCTGTGTGACCTTGCAATAGTTATTTAATCTAAGTGTTATTTTCCTTATATGTACAATAGGGATGGTAACAGTTTCTATCCCATAGAGGTATTCTAAGGATTAAAAGGGAAAATACATATAAAGGACACAGCAGAGTACCTGGGAAATTGTCAATAAGTGTTAGTTCTTATGGTTATTGTGATCATTTTTGTGGTTTTTACAATGACACTACTGTGGAGGAGTCAATGCTTAAGACTAAGGCCCCTGTGTCAATTGCCATTATAAGGATTTGTGCCTACCCTATATGGCAACCTATTTTCCCTGGAAAGAAACACAGGAACGTGTCCTTTGTTGAAGTCCTTTCTAGAAGACAGAGAATTATGATTGGAAAATAAGGTAAATGCCCTGTTATTGTGTGGCTTGAATTTTAGGCAGGTTTTAGTTGGCTAACTAGATCAAATGTTTTATGTTAATAGATGGTTTTAGTTGGCTAACTAGATCAAATGTTTTATGTTAATAGATGGTTTTAGTTGGCTAACTAGATCAAATGTTTTATGTTAATAGATAATACTGTCAAAATACTGATTCTTCCACTTTTTATAATAGTTCCAGTCCTCAACTCTCATGATAGAAAGAAAAATAGAAAAGAAAGGAGGGAGGGAAAAAATAAAGTCTTCCAGAAAGTCTATCTTACAAGGTAAGTCCAATTTTCAATAATTATGTTGGAAGAACGCTTAACAGCTTAATTTTGGATCTCTTGATATAGCTTCATATAATCTTCATACAAATCTAATCAGAGATGTGAAGCTCTGATTGTTGAAATTATTAAAATACATAATTATTTGCTGAAATTAAATATAGGGAATTCCTTAAGGAGCCTTTCCACCATTTTTCTCTTCCTTTGAGATAATTATCTGTGCAATACTAGATATTAAATGGTTACATACTCACTGCACTTCTGCCCTGAATCTAGGTTGGAAGAACGTTTACTTGCCTTGCATAGGAAATTTCTCAATGTCTATATTTACTGCAGGTTGGCTTGGACTACAATTAGGGAACAACTGTTCCCACCAAAGTAGGATGTGTGGTTCATAACTGTGAAGAACCCATGCTGAAGGCTGATAGAAAGCAGCAACTCAGACATCAGGGGGAGCACTGATCAGGAGTGAGAGCAAGAGAAATTTCCCCAAATGAACAAGGAACTGCAGCAGACTTTTCACAGAACACCCTGGTAATAGAAAACTTCCATAGAAATTTCTGGTGAAAATTATACTTACGATGTATTTAAGAGTTTGCAGATGAAATGATTACAAGCTTCCTTCTAGCAGGATAAGTTTCAGAACTTCCTTGAAATCTTACATGCCTCCCTTCCATGGGCTCAGCCATGGTCAAACTATAAAAGATTCCCATCCCCTGTACTTCCTTGCATTTAGGAATATTTTCAGGTTTTTTCTCTTAAATCCATTCACTCTGTCTTACCAGAATTTTTGGCTGACCCTTCAATTTTGGTCAATGTCTTGCTTTTCCCCTGTTTATCTGGACTTGATATTTTAGACCTTCTCTCATAGGCAACTCTTCTGCAGTTTTCAGCTATCAGGCTTTTTTTTCTTCAAGCCCTATACTTGTATATTAGTCATAACCATTCCAACCACAAGAGCTCAGCTCTAGTATCCCCATTTATCTGGGAGGGAGGTCAAAAGTAAGAATCCTCAAACATAAGTGAACGAACTTAGAATAGAATACAAAAGGCATATGGCAAAGAAGAAAGCCGGCAGAAGCTAGAGGAACAGGATCCATAGTAGACCAGTGACTCTGCCCCATGCCGTGCTGGCAAAGGGTTCTCCTAGATACTTGGTAAGAGTGTGAGTATTCAAAAAAGTAAAGTTGGGAGTTGGAGAAGGGGAGTAATGAAGAAGACATAGGCCTTGCAATTCAACCTTAATAACACAGACAAATTGAGGCAAAAACATCAGGACCTGGCAACTGTTTTCTCATTTGATTCTTGCCTGGTAACAAAGAGAGAACTGAGCTATGGGTTAGAGGGATAAAGCCAAGACATATGAACGTCTAGTTTCTGCCCTACTCTGGTATGGGGATTGTGGACAGAGAATACTACATAATGCTGTGAAGGTAGCTGGATAAGCTCCTCTGACGTTGTGGGGTTTTCCTGCTAAAATTGAACCAAGCATATAAATTAAAGTGAGATGAGTTTTTTTCTATTAGAAATTTCAAAGTTACCCTGTCTCTCTTTAGTCATGTCTAAATATTAGTTGTAGGACGTGTATGCAGTAGATAAGAAGTCAATATGCAGCCAGCAGTCTATCTTCCCAGCTTTCTGAAAGACATTCCAGGACAGTTACAGAAGTGGAGAGATGGAGGCATTAGGTCTACTATTGAATTTAGGGTTATGGTTGGATGAATTTGTGTATAAGATCTTAAACTCTTTGATGTTCTATTTAAAAATCGAGTTCTAAGGGGAGCAATTTGAACAAATTAATACAATGCAAAGGTAGCCATCAGTCAAAGTGTGATGAATTCAGGAAAAGTCTTAAGACTCAAACTCTTTAGTTGAGGCCTTTGTGCCTGATAGAGATCTTTACCTTTGTCAAAGACTAAGTTACAACAAATTTAGTTATAAATCTAACTTGTTTTTATTCACAATTCATTAATCAGGTCAGCCTCCATTCTATAAAATAGAATATGAGTTCCCACTAGGCAATGGCATACAGTGGGTTTTGTAAGGTGGGAACAAGGAAACAAAATAGTAGGGAAAAAAATGGCTGATTATTAATATCAGGCTGCTTCAGTTCACTTTTTTTTTCTAAGAGTTAAAGCAGAAGGGACTTCCTTATTCAACTGACTCCAGTAGACTGGAATCTCCTGTTTTCAGGATAAAATGGTCTGTTTTGGGTTCTGTCTGCTCCCTTAAAGTTTCAGTTTCACTATGTGGCGTTTAGCAAAGTGACTCCATTTTGGCTTGTTCTCACCTGTTGGGACTTAGTAAAAGTTCAGTCTAAAAAATGACCTTCTATAATTTTTTAATACCTATTTCTCATAAACAAGGTCCAGGCTCCTGGAAGAGTAGGAATCACCAGATCAAGGGTGATGGGGGTAAACCTAGACTATCTTAGGCTTATTGTTAATAATTGCAAATTAGAAGCATCTTTTGAACAGAGACTGAAAGTGGTGAAGAAAATAAGATTGACAAAATTAAAATATAAAAGAGATCAAAGAGGAACTGCCTGCAACAAAATGGAATCATAGAAAATGGAATCATAAATTATAAAAAGAGAAAAGACATGGGGCTCAGAAGGAAGAAGCTAGGTTTGAAGAACAAATCTTTGCCCACAGTGCACTGGTTCTCAAACTTGGCTGCACATTAAAGACACCTTAGAAGTTTTTTTAAAAACACTGAGTCCCACCCTTAGAGATTCTGAATTAGTGGTCTGAGAAGTTGCTGGGGAAAGGGGGTAAAACTAGTCTTTCTCTTTTTCAAGTAACCTGTGTGGTCATTTCTAACTGAAGTGGCTAATTGAGATAGGCAAAAACCTCAACGCTCATGCCCCTACCAGGCTGCTTGTAACAAGGGTCAAAAAGAATGTGTGTACAATTACAGCATGTGTCTTTGTGCCTTTTTTAGGCTGTGTGCTTTACTTATGCTTCCTTTTTATCTAATTACTTTAATGCTCCCTAAAGTTCTGAACAGACTTTGGCAGGACGATTGGTGAAGGAAAATTTAATTATATAAGAAAGCAAAAGTCAGTTTATAATATCAAACCTAATTTATGGGACTGTAATTGCTGACCTCTAGGGGGAGCTCAAGGCTCCTTCTCCCCATCTCCTTTCTTTCCAGTCCCTATGGAGAAGTATTATTTAGGTTTAAGTTTAGGATTGTATTGGCTATTTGGTATTAAATGTTACCACATTGCCAAGTTAACAATCGTTATAATGTGGGTGTGGCCTCTTTTGGGTTCCCTTATTCTTAGCAAACAGAGTGGAAAAGAGGGTATGATCTGCATGTGGGTTTTTGTTTGTGAAACAAAAATAGACAGTTTACACTGTTGACTAGTTAGACACATACTAGCACAGCAAAAGGGAGTTCTTCACAAGATCCACTGAAACTTTTTAGAGTTCTGCATTAGGCTTAGGAGCTAACCTTATAACTAAGAAATAACCATCTCTTTGCTTTGCTTTGTCTTACTTCATCGTCACAATCTGTCTGTTTTTATCTGTGCCCCCACCTCCAAGACCTCAGAGAATCTCTAAATGAGGGGAGGATTGGTGTAGGTCAGGATTCAGTTAGTGTCCTAACAAGATACCATTGTAATAACATCATCATTTTTATTTGGGTGTTATTCAAAGAAAGAGAGAAAGGTGGAAGTGGAAAAGAGAGGGTAGTTCTTACAATTCCTTGAAAATTTCTTGAAAAGATAAAGGAAGTTAAGCCAAACGCACCAAGGCTGAACTTCTTGGTTTAAATAGTAGGAAGACAGCAATGCCTGATTTTGCCCCAATTGTCCATAAACATATCAATGAAGACTGGAGGGAGTTCACAAACAAAAACATGGTAAAATAGAATATTAATAACATAGTCACCAGATTCTGAGCATAATTAACATTAAATATTATCTTACTCTGCTTGGGCTGCTAAAGCAAAATACCATGGCCTGGGTGATTTAAACAACAGAAATTTATTCTCACAGTTCTGGGGGCTATGAAGTTTCAGATCAAGATGTCAGCTGATTTGGTTCCAGGGCCCTCTTCCTGGCCTGCAGATGGCCACCTTCTCGCTGTGATCTCACATGGCAGAGAGACAGCTCTGGTGTCTCTTATAAGAGCACTGATTTCTCATGAAGGCCTCACCTTCATGACTTCACCTAAGCCTAATTACCCCTAAAAGTCCCATCTCAAAATACCCAAAGAGCCATCACATTGGGGGCTAGGGCTTCAACACATGAATTTGGGGGAAGGGGACACAATTCGGTCCATAACAATGGTAGAAGAGAGACAGTCAAACTGAGAAACTTTCACAGCCTGATGTAGATTCTGGCCTTAGGGGCAAGAGTTAAACTTGGATAGAATGAAGACAGCATGAGGCTTCTACCCATCTCTTACTGCATTATCCTACTACTCTATCTTAGAAACATGACTTGCAACAACCAAAAACCAGAAACCTCCCCTATCTATTGGGGAAGACCCTTGAAGTGGCCAGGCCATGCCTCCTGCTCTATCTTTAACCTCTTACTTAACCTCTAAAGGGCACTGAAATGTTTGAACATATTCCTTACTCTTGAATTCATAGCTCTTCAAACACAAGTTCCATTGTGGTTTAAATATAAATGGATTCTAAAGATGAAATTGGGTCAAATTGAAGATTTGGGTGGATAAGCAAAGGGACTAAAGTCATCTTCTTGAATGCCTATTCCTTCTTCATCACTTCTCCACTGTTGAACTCATTGCCCATGTGGCTTATGAGATTAGATGAGCCCAGATCTCCCTCTCACGTGGGAGAAGGCACTATCCAATGCTTCTACTTCAGAAATCCAAGAAAGAAACTCTTTCGTATCTCCAAGGCTTAATGCAGTCTAACTGCTTTAAACAACACCTATGCACTGATGACTCCATATTGTATGATGCGGATTCTGATGTTAATCTAGTCCCTCTTTATTAACTCCCATTCACAGCATCATTGTGGCTTTAGCTATTTAGTGTCTACACTGAGAGAGGTATATTTAGATAACACTTTATTAATAGGCTTAGGCAGAAATAGGAATGGACATTTCAATGACTTATGACACTAACTACCCAGAGTTGGGCCAAACTTCACAGTTAAGGGTACAGTCCTTTACAAGGCTGCCCTCACTTCAGGCGCCAGCTGCAAGTGCAGAGGTCCCCAGCCCACCCTCACTTCTGACCAACGGGTTACAAATTTTAGGGTTTCCACTATCCTGTCAGGTTAGATAACTTATTAGCACAATTTGCAGAACTCACAAAAGCACTATATTTATTTTTAAAGTTTTATTAAAGCAAAAAGATACAAATTAGAACCGGCCAAAGGGAGACATGCAGAGGGCAAGATCTGGGAGGGTTCCAAACATGAGGCTTCTATTATCCTTTCCCCATGGAATTAGGGTAGATTATCCTCCTGGCACATCATGTAGGACAGTACACAGAGAACTGCCAACTAGAGAGGCTCACCCAAGCTTTGACGTCCAGAGTTTTATTGGGATTTAATTACATAGGATCTTTGATGGAATCAACACCTATGTGGTTGAACTCAATTTCTGGCACCACCCTCCAGATGTCAGACTGATATCACAATGGCTCAAAGCCTCAACTTTCTAATCTCATGGTTGATCTTTCAGCCATGGCCAGCATCCCCATCCTGAGTCATTCGTTAGCAGGAGTCAAAGTAAGTCAGCTTGGTAAACTATCAGGGCCCACCATTAATAAAGTCACTCTTATATCACTTGGGAAATTCCAAGAGGTTAGCAGTTATCTCCCGGGAACCAGGGACAAAGACCAACCAAATTCCATTTGGCTTCCAGCAGACTTCTAGCAGGCTTCCATTGAATCAGTAATAAAAAAGCAGGATTGGGGAGGGGCTAAGATAGCTGATTAGAAGCAGCTGCAGTCAGAGGCTCCCACCAAGAACAAAAATGGTAAGTGAAGTCTGCACCTTCAACGGAGGTATGCAGGTTCTCTCATTGGGACTAACTAGGTGGTTAGCACGACCTACAAAGAGCAAGGAAAAGCAGGGTGGAAAAATGGCCCACCCGAGAGCAGATTAGCACAGGGCAAGGGGAGCTCTCATCCCCAGCCAAAGGAGACAGTGAGTGATTGTGCTACCCCAACCAGGAAATCATGCATTTTCCATGGATCTATGCAACCTGCGGATCAGGAGATCCCCTTGTGAGCCCATGCCACCAGGGCCTTGGGTCCCAAGCACAGAGTTGTGCAGATACTCAGCAGCTGTTTGGGTTGTGGCCTGCAGCAGCAGTTTGGAAACTGCCTAAGATGACTGAGTTCCCGGGGTGAGAGGAGCTGCTGTCACCGTGGCTCCAGTCTGTCCTACCAGGGCCAGGGAGTCTGGATGGTTTGGAATGGAAGGAATTCCCCACAGGGCAGCACAGCAGCTGTGGCAGATTGTGGTCAGATTGACTCTTTAGGTGGGACCCAGATCCGTCCCTCCTCACTGGGAAGGGTTTCCCTGCAGGAATTTCAGCAACTCCAGCCAGGGGGTTATGGACAGAGGACAGAACTCTGACCTCCCTGAGATGGAGCCCCTGATGGAAGGAGCAGCCATGGTCTCTGTGGTTCATTCAGCAGTCTTAGTGTTTCCTGCCTGCTGGCTCTGAAGAGTCCAGGAAATTCTCAGCACAGCACACCCACTCCAACAAGGGGCAGCCAGACTGCTTCATTAAGCAGGTCCCCGATCCTATGCTTCCTAACTGGGTGAGACCCCCAGCCAACAGGGGTCACTAGACACCTTATACAGGAGCATTCCCACTGGCATCAGGCTGGTGCTCCTCTGGGATGGAGCTCCCAGAGGAAGAAGCAGGCTACCATCTTTACTGTTCTGCAGCCTCCACTGGTGACACCTCCAGGTGCAGGAGGGACCCAGGTGAATAGGGTCTGGAGTGGACCCCCAGCAAATTGCAGCAGCCCTATTGAAGAAGGGCTTGACTGTTAAAAACAAACAGAAAGCAACAACAACAACATCAACAAAAAAGACCCCAAAAAAACCCCATCCAAAGGTCACCAGCCTCAAAGATCAAAGGTAGATAAGCTCACAAAGATGAGAGTTAATACAAAAATGCTGAAAGCTCAAAAAGCCAGAGTGCCTCTTCTCCTCCAAATGATCACAACGCCTCTCCAGCAAGGGCACAGAACTGGGATGAGGCTGAGATGCATAAACTGACAGAAGTAGGCTTCAGAAGATGGGTAATGATGAACTTCACTGAGCTAAAGGAGCATGTTCTCATCCAATGCAAAGAAGCTAAGATTCATGATAAAACAATATGGGAGATGATAACCAGAATAACCAATTTAGAGAAAACATAAATAACCTGACAGAGCTGAAAAACACAATACAAGAACTTCATAAGACAACCACAAGTATCAATAGCCAAATAGACCAAGCGGAGAAAAGAATCTCAGAGCTTGAAGACTATCTTGCTGAAATAAGACAGGCAGATAAGATTAGAGAAAAAAGAATGAAAAGGAATGAACAAAACTTCTAAGAACTAGGGGATTATGTAAAAAGACCAAACCTACAACTGGGGCACCTGAAAGAGACAGGGAGAATGGAACAAAGATGGAAAACATACTTCTGGATATCATGCGTAAGAACTTCCCCAACCTAGCAAGACAGACCAACATTCAAATTCAGGAAATCCAGAGAACCCCACTAAGATACTCCATGAGAAGATCAACCCCAAGACACATAATCGTCAGATTCTCCAAGGTCAAAATGAAGGAAAAAATGTTAAGGGCAGCCAGAGAGAAAGGACAGGTCACCTACAAAGAGAATCCCATCAGACTAACAGCAGACCTCTCAGTGGAAACTCTACAAGCCAGAAGTGTTTGGGGGCCAATATTCAACATTATTAAAGAAAAGAAATTCCAACCCAGAATTTCTTATCCAACCAAATGAAGCTTTGTAAGTGAAGGAGAAATAAAATCCTTTTTAGACAAGCAAATGCTGAGGGAATTTGTCATCACAAGGCCTGCCTTGCAAGAGCTCCTAAAGGAAGCACCAAATATGGAAAGGAAAAACCATTACCAGCCACTACAAAAACACACTGTAGTAGGCAGACCAATGACACTATGAAAAAACTACATTAACAAGGCTGAAAAATAACCAGCTAGCATCATGATGATAGGATCAAATCCACACATAACAATATTAACCTTAAATGTAAATGGGCTAAATATCCCAATTAAAAGGCATAGAATGGCAAGCTGGATAAAGAATCAAGACCTATTAGTGTGCTGTATTCAAGAGACTCATCTCACATGCAAAGACACACATAGAATCAAAATAAAGGGATGGACGAATATTTATCAGCAAATGGAAAGCAAAAAAACAGGGGTCACAATCCCAGTTTCTGACAAAACAGACTTTAAACCAACTAAGATCAAAAAAGACAAAGAAGGGCATTACATAATGGTAAAGGATTCAATTAAACAAGAAGTGCTAACTATCCTAAATATATATGCATCAAATATAGGAGCACCCAGATTCATAAAACAAGTTGTTAGAGACCTACAAAGAGACTTAGACTCCCACACAATAATAATGGGCATCTTTAACACCCCACTGTCAATATTAGACAGATCATTGAGATAGAAAATTAATAAAGATATTCAGGGCTTGAACTCAGCTCTGAATCAAGTGGACCTGTTAGATGGCTACAGAACTCTCCACCCCAGAACAACAGAATATACTTTCTTCTCGGCACCACATGGCACTTACTCTAAAATCAATCACATAATTGGAAGTAAAACACTCCTCAACAAATCCAGAAGAACTGAAATTATGACAAATAGTCTCTCAGAAAGTAGCGCAATCAAATTAGAACTCAAGACTAAGAAACCACACAACTACACAGATATTGAAAAACCTCCTCCTGAATGACTCCTGGGTAAATAATGAAATTAAGGCAGAAATCAGAAAGTTCTTTGAAACTAGTGAGAACAAAGAGAAAATGTACCAAATCTCTGGGACACAGCTAAAGTAGTGTTAACAGGGAAATTTATAGCACTAAATGCCCATATCAAAAAGCTAGAAAGATCTCAGATTGACTTCCTAACATCACTTCTAAAAGAATGAAAGAACGAAGAGCAAACAAACCCCAAAGCTAGCAGAAGAAAAGAAATAACCAAGATCAGAGTGAAACTGAAGGAGATAAAGACATGAAAAACCCTTCAAAAAAATCAATGAAACCAGCAGCTGGTTTTTGGAAAAACTTAATAAAATATATAGACTGCTAGCTGCACTAATAAAAAAGAAAACAAAGAAGAATCATATAGACATAATAAAAAATGATAAAGAGGATATCACCACTGACCCCACAGAAATACAAACAACCATTAGGGAATACTATAAACACCTCTATGCACATAAACTAGAAAATCTAGAAGAAATGGATAAATTCCTGGACACATATATCCTCCCAAGACTGAACCAGGAAGAAGTTGAATCCCTGAATAGACCAATAACAAGTTCTGAAAATGAGGCAGTAATAAATAACCTACCAACCAAAAAAAAAGCCCAAGACCAGACAGATTTACAGCTGAATTCTACCAGAGGTACAAAGAGGAGCTGGTACCATTTCTTCTGAAACTATTTCAAAAAATTGAAAAGTAAGGACTCCTCCCTAACTCATTTTATAAGACCAACATCATCCTGATACCAAAACCTGGCAAAGATACAACAAAAAAGGAAAACTTCAGCCAATATCCCTGATGAACATCGATGCAAAAATCCTCAATAAAATACCAGCAAACCAAATCCAGCAGTACATCAAAGAGCTTATCGACCACAATCAAGCCAGCTTCATCCCTGGGATACAAGGCTGGTTCAACATATGCAAATCAATAAACACAATCCATCACATAAACAGAACCAATGACAAAAACCACATGATTATCATCATAGATGCAGAAAAGGCTTTCACTAAAATTCAACATCCCTTCATGTTAAAAACTCTCAATAAAATAGATGTTGATGGAACATACCTCAAAATAGTAAGAGCTATTTATGACACACCCACAGCCAATATCATACTGAATGGACAAAAACTGGAAGCATTCCCCTTGAAAACTGGCACAAGACAAGGATGCCTCCTCTCACCACTCCTATTCAACCTAGTATTGGAAGTTCTGGCCAGGGCAATCAGGCGAGAGAAAGAAATAAAGGTAGTCAAATAGGAAAAGAGGAAGTCAAATTGTCTCTGTTTGCAGATGACATGATTCTATATCTAGAAATCATCTCAGCCCAAAAGATTCTTTTTTTTTTTTTTTTTTTTTTGAGATGGAGTCTCGCTCTGTCGCCCAGGCTGGAGTGCAGTGGCGCAATCTCGGCTCACTGCAAGCTCTGCCTCCCAGGTTCATGCCATTCTCCTGCCTCAGCCTCCCGAGTAGCTGGGACTACAGGCGCCTGCCACCGCGCCTGGCTAATTTTTTGTATTTTTAGTAGACAGGGTTTCACCGTGTTAGCCAGGATAGTTTCAATCTCCTGACCTCATGATCCGCCCGTCTCGGCCTCCTAAAGTGCTGGGATTACAGGCGTGAGCCACCACGCCCAGCCCCCAAAAGATTCTTAAGCTGATAAACAACTTCGGCAACATCTCAGGATACAAAATCAATGTGCAAAAATCACTACCCATTCCTATACACCAACAACAGACAAGCCAAGAGCCAAATCATGAATGAACTCCCACTCACAATTGCTGCAAAAAGAATAAAATACATAGGAATACAGCTAACAAGTGAAAGATCTCTTCAAGGACAAGTACAAACCACTGCTCAAGGAAATAAGAGAGGACACAAACAAATGAAAAAACATTCCATGCTCATGAATAGGAAGAATCAATATGGTGAAATGGCCATACTGCCTAAAGTAATTTATAGATTCAATGCTATTCCCATTAAACTACCATTGACATTCTTCACAGAATTAGAAAAAATTATTTTAAAATAATATAGAACCAAAAAATAGCCCAAATAGCCAAGACAATCCTAAGCAAAAAGAACACAGCTGGAGGCATAACGCTATTTCAATTACTCAATTCAATTTACTCAATTTCTTTGGTCTCTTTCTGAGTTATATCTGGAAATCGGATGATAAGCTATTTCTACAAATTATTTTTAATATTCATCACTCACAACTCAATTGGACCCTCCTGCAATTTTTTTGAAAGCAAAAAATTGGAAACCACCTAACTGGCTAAAGAATTTGTTACCCAGACATTACAAAATCATTCACTTTCTCATTTTCTGGGAAGTAAATCCAAAAGGCTCTTACTAACACTTAATAAATAATTAGTAATTGTGGCTGTTACTCTGTCATGGAGAAACACTTCCTTTAGTTTGAGACCTAGGGCTGAGATGGCCCTTCAGAGATGTTCCAAAAATGGAGGCAAAAGGATGTCTTTATGCCATCTGCATGGGATTAACCACTGAGTGTAGGCTGACCCCAAGGAGAGCCATAGCCTTGGGAAGGGAAGTTTCCTTCAGCAGAGGGCAATTTCCAGAGAGGAAAAGGCTGTGAGCAGCCACTATTCCAGGCAACTGGGGAAATCCTGAAGGGAGGACCTAGGTGACACACCACAGCAAACCACCATAAAATTCTTTCAAAAGGGAACAGAAGACATTGGGGCCTATTTGAGGGTGGAAGGTGGGAGGAGGGAGAGGAGCAGAAAAAATAACTATTGGATACTAGGCTTAGTACCTGGTGACAAAATAATCTGTATAACAAACCCCAATGATACAAATTTACCTATATAATAAACCTGCACATGTACCCCTGAACTTAAAATAAAATTTTTAAAAAATATTTTGAATTTTTTTGAGACAGGGTATTATTCTGTCACCCAGGCTGAAGTACAATGGCATGAGTGATCACTGCTCAATGCACTCTTGACCTCCTGAGCCCCAGAGATCCTCCCACCTCAGCCTCCCAAGTAGCTGGGACCACAGGTGCATGCCACCACATCTGGCTTCTTCTTTTTTTTTTTTTTTTTTTTTTGTAGAGACAGTGGTCTCTCTATGTTGCTCAGGCTGGACTCAAACTCCTGGGCCCAAGTGATTCTCCTGGCCTCCCAAAGTGTTGGGATTACAGGTGTAAGCCGCCATGCCTGGCCTTGAGTTCTTATATTTAAAAATATAAACATTTCATCATATAGAAATATTTAACTAAATCTTACATTCAAGTATATTTTCTTCCAAATCTTGAAACTGCAGACTTAGTAGAGGCTACTTGTGCAAATGGTCTGCCACATAATGTAATGAACAAAGCAAATCTTCATTGCCAAACCAATCAGGCAAAGCAAACAAACTTTCTGACATTATTCAATTTTAACAAAATGTTAATATGCATTCCTGTAACAACCAGCTTCTTCTGAATTATAATTCTGAGAAAGAGAAAGACAGAGAGCGGGTACTGAAACTTACTATAATTTTGTTGCTGAATGCAGTAAGGCCAACTTCCCTCCCTGTTTCTTTCTAAAATTCTACTGTTCTTAAGTGACTCTCCCTCAGGGACACTACATTCAGTGACATTAGTTGGAGAAGGGAAGAAGGACAAGGTTATTGAATGAAAATTATCATTATTCCACTGCCCACTCTACAGTAAATTTGAATTCAGACCATCACAACACAAGGCAAAATACCTCATTTCTATGGCATGCTTTGCTTTTGATGGAAATATGTGTAAAGCAAAGAAAATAAAACAAACAAAAAACCTTAAGAAGGCTTGACCAGAGGAGACTTCTCTAATACCAATATTTCAAATGGTCCCTTCTTTTAGACCCCGCAGAAGTTTTTACTCCCCAATGTAGCATAGTAAGATTCAAGATGAGTGAGAGATGTGAATTTATTTTATAAAGGACAAAGAGACCAATTATGAAAGTGGACTGAGAAAGGAGTCCAGAATATTCCTATAGCCGGGCAGTGGAATATCATGAGTTAATTTTAAGAAATAATATGTTTGGAAGTTGAGGGTCTGGAAACGTGTTTCCTTGACACTACTTGTGACTACCCCTAGGAAAGGCTCTACTTATCCTCTGGGGTATGCATACTCAGCTTATACACTGCTGGTCCAGCGGGAAGGAAAGTTAGCTGCGATCTGTAGACTCAATAGAAATTAGCCAGATTAATTTCTGATGGGCTATTTTATGATCATATATAAAACAGCAAATGGAGAGCCTGCATAAACCCACATTATGTCAATGACTGTATAAGTGAACAGTAACTTTTAGAGAAAAGTTACTTTTTTGGTCCCTTCAGCAATCATTTCCATATATGCCCATATTTTCTTCTTCCTACCTGAATGATTTCACCCACACACTCTGTCTATGCAAATCCTTTCCACTCTTCAAAGGACAGCTGAAATCCAACCACATGACTCCCTTCTGCATCTCTATTCATTTCAATTCGACTGGGAATGATATTCTTTCCCACTAAATTTTCTAGTTTGTTTTGTTTATTCCCATTCATTATTTTAATTTGCGTTAGTGGTAATAGCCTTCTAACTAGCCTTTCTGTCTCTAATGCTTCCTCCGATATTGTATCCTCCCTATTGCAAAAGTCATATTTCTAGATGGCAAATCTAATCATAAAACTCTTTTCCTCTAAACTTTAACTCCTTAATGCTTATGGAGTGATATATAAGTGCTTAACCTGACTAGAATAATAATGAAACCATCACAATAGGACATATGTCCTGTCTTCCAAAAGTTAAAACTATCCCGGATCACATGCACAAAGATAATCATTAATGAATGTAAAGAGTGTGCAAGAGTAAGAAGGATGGAGAGATAATAACCAATTCAACCTAGGGTAGTGGGAAATACTTCTAAAGAAAGAATGTGAAGGATGAGTATGTATTTGAAGGCTGGGTGTGAATGAGTTCAATGGATGATGAGTAAAGAATATCAAAGAGAGTAGAAACAGCTTTTGCAAACATACAGTTTGAGAAAACAAGGCAAATTACTGCAAGAAGGGTATGCATATATATATATACTACACCACGAAAATACAGCCCAACTCTGTAGAGAAATGGGATAGCCTCCCACCAAGTGAGAGTCCTGGTTGAGCACCTCAAAATAGGATGAACACCTGCTTTTCTGGCTTCTAAAATATATAGAAATGTGTCATGAATCAGCCCCCAACAAATTACGTACTCTATTGTCACTATTCCCTTAAGATTCTTCTCAAATATTGTTCCTACAGGAAGCCTTTCTAGCCACCCATCCAAATTGAGCTAGATGCCTTTCTTCATGTTCTCTGTGAATTCCTCCAGCATAGCAATGTCTGTCTGGCATTCACATGATTAGTGTATGTGCCTTTCTCCCTTTTCTAGACTCCTTGATGGTCACATTTATTTTTATATTCCTCGTGTTTATTACAGTGTCAAACGTTTAGGGAGCACTCAAAAAATAATACATATCCAAAAAATAATAAAATGATAACTGTCATTTAATGTCTTCCATGTGTCAGGTAAGTGTTTACTCAAATTTGGGGGATCCAGGAACTACTTACTGGAAGTTCTAACTATATGAAATTGTTTGAATGGTTATTATCATCATTCTCAGTATCACGGTGTCATGAAGAAATCTTTTTAACCCAGCTGTTATTTTTAAAACTCGTAGGAGCAACTTTCCTCTTGACATCTAGTGTTCTCAATGTGGAAAAGACAGTCTTATACTCATATGCTTTCCATTAACTTACACAGCACTGAAAAGATGCATAGCCAGTGACTGTTACCTGATTGTATCCACAAGTCTCACTATTTCCTTTAATCATAAATTAAGATCGAAAGATGTATTATTAATCAACTATTCTCCTTTAAAAAATAAGGTGAAATAGAGCTTGGGCTTAACCTCCTTTAGCAGAGTAACACCCATTCTTTCTGCAAACATAGTGAGTATCCTGGAATTATGAGCCCCAACATACCTTTGCCAGGCTATATTGAAGTTCATGAGATCATCAGCAACTAAACAAAACATATTTTCTCCTATAATGTGGGATTTCAGTGATGAACAAAACAAAAGGCCATTGTGCACTTTTCCCTCAAATATATGCAGCACATATTATAAATGCTGATTCCCAATTTGCATACCAGTAGGTCTATCCAATCATAAAAATGAAATATCTGCTCTATTGTATGTGTGATAGTAATTACCCATTGTGGGACATTGATCTAATTAATGGGATTTTTGCATTAGTCATCTTACCCTGCATAATAAATTACTACAAAACTCAGTGGTTTAAAACAAGAATTTATTAGTTCGTGGTTTCTGTGGGTCATGAATGATCTAGGTGGTTCTGGCTCAAAGTCTCCTGGGAGATTACAGTTAAGCTGTCAGCCAGGGCTACAGTCATTTGAAGGTTTGATTAAGGCTGGAGGATTTGCTTCCAGGATTACTCACTAGTCAGTCCTTCATCAGATTGCCAGTACAATAGAAACTAATTTCCGGAGAGGAGGTGGATGGAGGGAAACAAGAAAGGAGAGGAGAGGAAAGGAAAGGAGAGCAGAGGAGAGGAGAAGTGAGGAGATGAGAGGAGAGGAGAGGAGAGCAGAGGAGAGGAGAGGAAAGAGAAGGAGAGGAAGTATTCCTGTAAAGGAACACCAAAGCAAATGACAGCAGATTTCTCATATGAAACCATAGAGGTCACAAAAAAATTTGGTGAACGATTTCTCAAGTACTTAGAGAAAACACTGTTAACTCTGAATCCTGCACCTGACAAAGCTATCTTTCAAGGACAAAGGAGAAACAAAGACATCCTCAGATTAAGGGAAATCAAGAGAATTTGTTTCTAGTAGACCTACACTTAAAGAGCTTACAAACTCTCCAAACAGAGCAAAAATGGTAACAGGAGAAGGCTGGGGCCTTCAGACAGAAAAGAAGGGCAACTGAAGGAGAAAAAACAGCAGCAAATATAATAGACCATCTTTCACTTCATGAGGTTCATTAATCATATTTCATAGTTGATGTAAAACTTCTAATACCATCTGATGTGATGCTCAATATATGTAAAGGAAATATTTAAGACAATTATATCTAGAAGCAGAAGAAGCTAAAGAGACCTGAAATGGAAATAGGGTTTCTAAACTTAGGTTACCACTAACAGTGGTAAAACAGCAACACCCGTAGGCTAAGGTAAGTTATGTATATACACAGAAATACCTAGAGCAACCACTAAGAAAACTACACAAAGTGATATAATCAAAGATGTTATAAATAAATACAAATGAAACTCTTAAAAAATGTGTAAGTTACCCAAAGGAAGCCAAGAAATGAAGAAAAACAAGAAACAGAGGGAATGGACAGAAAACAAATAATAAAATGTCAGACTTACACAAACTGAAAGAGATTGGCAAAGTAGATTTTTAAAACTCAATCCAGCTATATACTGTCTACATGAAACTCACTTCAAACATGACATAGGTTGGATGAAAGTAAAAGGATGGGGAAAGATATATCATGCATAATCAATAAAAGCAGAAATGACTATACTACTATCAGATAAAGTAGACCCAGACATAATGACATTATTAGGGACAAAAAGGAATATAGCAAAATGATATTATGCACCTACCATATTTGAAATCTTAAGTGGTGCTGATAAAGACCACAGTTGTAAATACATAACCTCAAAAAATGTGACGAAGTCATTTTTCATGTCCTCAATGATGCAGTTCAGATAGAGTACAACGTTTACTCTCCTCATTATAGTCTATTTTTATCAAAAGACATTATGTGCACGTGACTTACTAAGGTGGAATGAATTAATATTTACATGTATTTATAATTTATAATGCAAAATGTAATTTCTAAAAGCTCTATTGAAAGTAATAATCAAGAGGGTCTAGGGAGTAGATAGAGGGGTAGATGAAATAAGAATGGCAGAATGCAATCTTCCAAGGAAGATACTTTTCAAGACCCCTAGTGGATACCTGAAACCACAGATAGTTTATATAGATAAACCCTATGTATACAATGCATGAAATTCTTTTTACTTCTTCACAGTTTCACAGATAAGAGATTCTTTCTTACCATAGGTGTTAGCAACCTCAACATACAATTTTTTTCTTTCCTTATTAAGCTGAGAACTTCCACGTTTTCACTTAAAAGAAGCACTTTACAGCTTCCATTTGCATAATTAGATTTCCAGCATCACTATTTTTGCATGCTTTGGGGCCATTATTAAGTAAAATAAGGATTCCTTGAATACAAGCCCTGCAATACCACAATAGTTGATCTGATAAGCCGGATGGCTATGAAGTGACTAACAGGCGGGTAGCATGGACAGCATAGACACACTGGACAAAGGGATGATTAATGTCCTGGGTGGGATGGTGAAATATTTCATCATGCTACTCAGAGCAGTGGAAATTTAAAACTTATGAATTGTTTATTTGTGCAATTTTTCATTTAATATTTTCAGGCCATGGTTGACCACTGGTAACTGAAACTACAGAAAGTTTAGATAAAAGAGGACAACTGTTTTGGGGTTCAGTAAAGAGATGACATGATTTGATTCATGTTTTAACATTATCACTGCAGCCACTTGCTGAGAGCACATTGGAAGGGCTGTGATGGGAAGAAGCAGGGAAACCAGCCAAGAGGCTATTGCAATAAGGATAATGATGCCTCCAGCCTGGAAGGTTGCAGGAATGCTAAGAAGGGGTCAGACTGTGAGAATACTCTGAAAGCAGATGTGATAGAATTTGCTAACAGAGCAGGTGTGTGGTAAGCAAGAAAGAGCAAAGTCAAGAACAATCTCAATTGTCTTTTGACTTGAGGCACTGGAAAAATAGAGTTGCCCTATACTAAAATGGGGAAGACCATGAGAGGAGCAGATTTGGGGGAAAACATTTAGAAGTTCAATTTGGAACTTATAAGTTTCACATATCTGTTATACTTCAAAGTAAAGATGAGTAGCAGCTAGACACTGATGTTAAAGGGAGAGGTCGAGGCTGGGACTGTAAGTTTGGGAATTGCTAGTGTAAAGGTGCCACTTAAAGTCATGAGCTTGGATTAGCTCACCTAGGCAATGACTGTACATAGAAAAGTGAAGAGGACCCTGGGGCTCTCAAATGCTTAGTAAGCAGAAGGTTGAGGAGGAAGCAGGGGTTACAACTGAGGGTGAGGATTGGGAACGAAAGATTTGAAGAGAAAAGAGATGGTACAAAATGATCATCTAGAAGAGTGAGAGAGTAAATAGTATAGGGAAATATGGACTATTATTGGGGAGCATAATACTTAAGATGAGTAATCATAAATTTAAAGTCAGACACTCAGCATGGTGGTACATTTTTTCCCAATTATGTTGGGCTGTGAAGGAGCAGAATTATATAGACTTGTGGTTAAAGCAAACAAGCAACAAGGGAGCTAAGCCTAAAGAAAAGGAAGCAAAAAGCAAAAACTATTAGAAATACAACAGTAGCAGGGAGATTTCCCAACCAGATGTGAATGCATATTATAAAGCTATAGTACATTTTTTAATGAGGTGGCACTAGAGTCATAATCTGACCAATGCAGTAGAACCAAATTTTCAGAAATACATACCAATGGAGTAGAACTGAATCTTTGGAAATATATATGAGAGTACTTTTGAAAGTTCATGAGAAAATGGAATAAAAATATAAAATATAAACTTTATTTCTCAACGTAAGCTGCATCGAGTTTAAGCCACTTTTGTAAGTGATGATACCAACTATTTAGTCCATCCTTAAAGAACTGAGATTCTAAAAATTTTCTACCATTCTGTAGGTTGCCTGTTCACTCTGATGCTAGTTTCTTTTGCTGTGCAGAAGCTCTTTAGTTTAATTAGATCCCATTTGTTTATTTTGGCTTTTGTTGCCATTGCTTTTGGTGTTTTAGTCATGAAGTCATTCTTGCCCATGCCTATGTCCTGAATGGTATTGCCTAGGTTTTCTTCTAGGGTTTTTATGGTTTTAGGTCTAACATTTAAGTCTTTAATCCATCTTGAAAGAATTTTTGTACAAGGTGAAATGAAGGGATCCCGTTTCAGCTTTCTACATATGGCTAGGCAGTTTTCCCAGTACCATTTATTAAATAGGGGATCCTTTCCCCATTTCTTGTTTTTGTCAGGTTTGTCAAAGATCAGCTGACAAAGGGCTAATATCCAGAATCTACAAAGAACTTAAACAAATTTACAAGAAAAAATCAAACAACCCCATCAAAAAGTAGGCAAAGGATATAAACAGACACTTCTCAAACGAAGACATTTATGCAGCCAACAGACACATGAAAAAATGCTCATCATCACTGGCCATCAGAGAAATGCAAATCAAAACCACAATGAGATACCATCTCACACCAGTTAGAATGGCGATCATTAAAAAGACAGGAAACAACAGGTGCTGGAGAGGATGTGGAGAATTAGGAATGCTCTTACACTGTTGGTGGGAGTGTAAACTAGTTCAACCATTGTGGAAGACAGTGTGGCGATTCCTCAAGGATCTAGAACTAGAAATACCAGTTGACCCAGCCATCCCATTACTGGGTATATACCCAAAGGATTATAAATCATGCTACTATAAAGACACATGCACACATATGTTTATTGCGGCACTATTCGCAATAGCAAAGACTTGGAACCTACCCAAATGTCCATCAATGGTGGACTGGATTAAGAAAATGTGGCACATACACACCATGGAATACCATGCATCCATAAAATGTATGAGTTCATGTCCTTTGTAGGAGCACAGATGAAGCTGGAAACCATCATTCTGAGCAAACTATCACAAGGACAGAAAACCAAACACCAAATATTCTCACTCATAGGTGGGAATTGAACAATGAGAACACTTGGACACAGGGTGGGGAACATCACACACTGGGGCCTGTCGTGGGGTGGTGGGGGGTGCAGAGAGCATTAGGAGAAATACCTAATGTAAATGACAAGTTAATGGGTGCAGCACACCAACATGGCACATGTATATGTATGTAACAAATCTGCATGCTGTGCACATGTACCCTAGAACTTAAAGTATAATAATAAAAAAAACAGATTCTGAGAATTTAACCATGTCAATGTAGTCTTTTTTTACATTATTAGCTGGAAAAAATTGCATGCCCATTAGAGATTTTTTTTAAGATTAGGAAACAAAAAGAAGTCAGAAGGAGCCAAATCAGGACTGCAAGATGGATACCTAATCGTTTCCCATCGAAATTCATGAAATTGTCCTTGTTTGATGAGAGGAAGGAACAGGAACATTGTCATGGTGAAAAAGGACTCTCTAGTGAAGCTTTCCTGTTTGTTTTTCTGTTCAAGTTTTGGCTACTTTCTCAAAACATTCTTGTAATAAGCAGATGTTATTGTTCTTTGGCCTTCCAGAAAGTCAACAAGCAAAATACCCTGAGTGTTCCCCAAAAATGTTGCCACGACCTTTGCTCTTGCCCTGTCTGCAAACTGGACCACTTCCACTTCTCGAAAGCCATTGCTTTGATCGGGCTTTGTCTTCAGGGTCCCACTGGTAAAACTGTGTTTCATCTCCTATTACAGTGCTTCAAAGAAATGTCTCAAGGTCTTGATCTCATTCATTTAAAATTCCCATTGAAAGCTCTGCTCTTTTCTGCAGCTGATTTGGGAACAATTATTTTGGAACCCATTGAGTGAGAAGTTGCTCAGCTTTAATTTTCAGTCAGAACTGTGTAAGCGGAATCAGTTAAGACATATGTGAGGCTATTATTTCTTCTGTGAATCATCAGTCTTCCTCAATTAGGGCACAAACAAAATGAATTTTTTCCTTGCAAATTGATGTGGATGGTCTGCCACGGTGGGCTTCATATTCAATATCATCTTGTCCTTTCTTAAAATAAGTTATCCATTTGTAAACTACTGATTTCTTTGGGGCATTGTCTCTATAAATTTATCACAAAGGATTGATGGTTTCACCATTCTTCCAATCAAGCTTCACCATAAATTTGATGTTTGTTCTTGCTTCAATTTTAGCAGAATTCGTGTTGCTCCTGATACGGACTTTCTTCAAACTGATGTCTTATTCTTCCTAGTGCCTCAAGCTAGATCTTGTTCAGATATTTTATCACAAGTTATTATAAGTTTATTGTGGTGCAAAAAATTTTTGAAATAGTTTTCTTTATATTCTACATTTTCTATGAACTTTTCAAAGACCCTTTTTATAAGAATTTAGTATAATACAAGTGGCATTTCTAATCAATGAGGATGGCTATTTGATAAGTGTTATTGAGATAATAGTTAACCAGTTGGGAAAAAAATGTAGATGATTAGATCGTCATTAAGCACCGTACACCAAAATAAATTTCAGAGGAATTACACATTTAAATATTTAAAATTAGACCATAATAGCCATGGAAGAAAATATTCATAACTATGTACATAATCCTAGGATGAAGATAGACTTTCATCTGTAATATATTCACATGAAAAAGATCAAGATTCAAAGTAATATTAGCATTTTGAATTTTTGGATGTATGTGCATAGAATATAGCAAACTATTAAAAGGAAGTGTGGCTGGATGTTTGGATTATGGATAATTGTATTTGCTTCATTAGGCTTGACTGTATTTTGCAAACTTTCTATAAGAGATATGCATTTTGTTTAGCTTTCTATAATATTTATTATTTCTAATTACAAAAGTGAGATATTACTTATAGCAAGTGAAATAGTGCAGAGATGTGTCAAGATAAAGTTCCTAGTAGTCTCCCCATTCACCACCCCATCTAACTCTTTCCATTTCTAGCCCATGAGGCAATCTAATTAACAGGTTGGTGTCCCTGCTTCTCCATGTTCATACACACACACACACACACACACACACACACTCTGTATATACATATAGTTTCTGTATTTTTCTTTTCAAAATAGAATCATATTGTTAAACACATATTGCTCAACAACTTGCATTTGTCAGTGTACAAATCAATAAAGATCGAAGTTATTTACAATAAGAATGCCCTTGATATTTCATAATTTATTCAAGCATTCTCCTTTTGAGGTCTTTACAAACAATGCAGACAACATTTTTGAACTTTTATTCTTATATGTTGCTGTACTTCTATAAAAATGGAGTTCTAAAAGCTGGGTTGCAGAATCAAAATGTATATGGATGTATAATTGCAAAAGATATTGCCAGATTACTTTCCAAGATTGTAGTAACCACGGTAAGCAGAATTCTAAGATGTCCCCCTCTTCCCACTGTGTACACACCCTGCACAATCCCCAAAACTGTGGATGTGATAGATTCCCTGATTCTATTACCTTACTATAGGGACATTATCCAGGTGGATCTTACCTAACCACATGAGCCCTTTAAAAGCAGAGCGTTTTCTCCAGCTGATCCCAGAAAAAGAATTCAGAGATTCAAATGTTACACAGCAATAGAAAATTAATACAGTAAGAATTCACTCTCTTGAAAGCATTGTATGAGGTAACTATATTCATTTTCTCACCAGCACCAAATGTTAAATATGTTTTTAAATTCAGTCAATTTGATAAGTAAAAAAGAGTACCTTATTTTTGATACATGTTTAATAAAGAGTATCTTTATTTTGCATGTCTCACTAAAATCAAGAAACTTTCCATATGTTTTTAGTTAGATTTCCCCTGAGTTAATTGCCTGTTCACATGCAGTACTTTGCTTTGACTATTTTGCTATAGCGTCATTTGTGTAACTCTTGTCAAGGGCTTAAGCAATCTCTAAGCAACAGCATAGGTGCTAAGCTGACTTGCTGCCCTTTCAAAATTTAGTTGGAAAGGAAACAACAAGCCCAAACTGATTTGGACCATTTTTACTCATGGCAGAGCATGCAGCACAAGCTCCGTGTTCTCTATATGTCCCTTTGTCCCTAAGTCCCATCAGGGAAGGGAACGACACAGAACAGGCCTGGGCAGATCCTGCACACACATCCATGTCCCATCCCAGATGAGGAACCCTGAGCTTAGGAAACTTCCCATCTTTTAAGTGGCTGCAAGCAAACCTGCCCAAACTTTGCTCCACAGAGAGAAACTATATTATCTTTTTCAAGAAACAAATCTACTGTCTGACCTGGAGAGAGATACCATCTCTAGCTCCCAAGCCTCTGTGCTCTATACAAACATCCTGGAAAAGATAGTCTGGAACTAAAGCTGTCATAAGATGTGTAAAAACACCAAGGTGAATTGCCTCTGAACAAATCCACCTCTCATTTCCACATTTTTGTGATTACAACACTCTGTTGGCCATTCAAAATAATCTGACCAACAGCAGGTGAGACCACTTCTGTTCAATTTGTAAGCACTTGCAGATCTCTTATTACCAGTGTTTTCTGGGAGAGAGGGAAGTTAATGCCGGCTTTCACACAATTATAATCCCAAAGGAAAACATGGAACCCCTGGGGGAAAAAAAGTTGTTGACAATGTTTAGAGTTTCCCCACCATGGGACACACATCAGTCAGCAGCCCAGGTTGACAGAGGCTTTGGGGTTTAATCCCAGGAATGTAAGAATGGGTTATCTGTAATTTATTAAGATAACATACCACATCATGTATCATAATAACAGCTAACACTATATGACACTATTCTAGTAGCTTAACATATTTAGCCCTTTAAAACTTCCCAATAGTGTGGTTGGTATGAGTGCCATTACATTAAATAAGAAAAACAATAAAAGCATCTTAACTGGTTGCCGTCAAAAAGAAATTCAATCAAATGAAAACCATTGCTTTAGTTAAATGAACTCTTTAAAAATGTGTAATAGATGTTTCCTTAACATGAAAAAGAATATCAATATCGACAACCAACATCATACCTAAGAATGAAAAACTAAAGATAATTATGTTAAACCTACACAAAAGAGAGACAAACAACAGAGAAGACCGGTGACATTGTTTTATGAAACAATTCTCAATACAGATTTACAGAAAGATTAATCCAAATTAAGCCTGTTTCTGTAATGCCACTGCCCAGTGAGTGCAATTTTTCATGAGGAAGACACTCTCTAAGCTATAGGCTTCAGACTTCTCCTAACTATCCTCTTCCTTCTCCTCTCCACCTCTACCACACAGTCTCAGAGTGTACACAGTTGTTCCCAGTTTCCCATGATTGGGAAGGACTCAAACACTATGATGGCAGGTCAACTTTCTGTCATCTTGTCCAAGGGAAAAGCACACTAAGCTGGGAGTGAATGAGCCTGACCTAAACAGCAGCAGAGAGAATGAGTAGAGAAAGGAGCCACTGAGTTGGAGGCCTTAGAGCCACAGGAAAGGAGCTGAAGTCTAGCCCAGTGGCATTGCTGGTTAGCTCCTGTGGCCATGATTAATTTACGAGCTCAACTTTGTGGGAGTTTTCTATTTGACATTTCAAATTTGCAAGAAATTTGACTAAGTACTATTGAGAAGAAAATTAACATTTGCCTGAATTTTAGAAAGGGAGATTAGAACAGGCCACTGGGCTAATCGCAGGTAGGATGATGGGGAGAACTTGCCTGTGTCTGTCCTCTTCAACCCAAGAACCAGGCTCTTCAGCCATCACAGCGGGCTCAACATGGCTGCTTTATTATCTGCAGCTCAATGTACATATGATATCTAACTAACAGTGATGCTGTGATAGAATTTTCATTTCCGAGGGCAGTATTTCTCTTCCCTTCATACAAGTACACAAAATTACACTTTCTAAAAATGAGAAAAGCCTGAGTTCTTCAGAACAAGTCAGCCATAATAATAATGCTTCAGATGTTCCAGGTGTCTGTAAGGCCAGCAGTTAGAGTGAAACCTTCTCTTTGAACCCATTCAACCAGGGTGAAACTCTGCCAGTAGTAAAAAAGAAAGCAGCACGTGGTTTCATGGTATTCACCCTACCACCTTCCATAGTGAGGAGACAGAAACCTGTCTGGGGTGAAGACCATGGGAAAATGTGTAGCTGTTATTATTTGTCATGAAGGTAACTATTCAGGATCTGTTCTGTTCAACCAGCTTCTGATGACTTGGCCAGGAAAATAAAGAAAGAGACCTAAATACAGCATTGAGGGAAAGTGCAGTCTTAAACTTGGGAGTCTGAGAGATTAGAGTTCTGCTGTGACCTGTGTAGCCTTTCTAACCTATTGACCCCAATTTTGGGGGGATGCCCTATTTCTAGGGTGTCCTCAGAACTTCAACGGTAAAAACAAAAATATGAGAGGAGAAGAGTGGCAAGGAGGAATAGACACTGTCAACTCATATGTAAGTTACTTAGCATAAAGCTGGGACATAATAAGTACTTAATATATAATAGTTTTTACCAGGTGTGACTCACAAGGGTGGCTAGTACAAAGGTGGATTTGTCTTTTATTGCTATCAGTTCTGCATTAGCACTATCTCTGGGTCACTATTAGAATCCAGGCAATGCTAATAATAATGGACACTTACAATGTATCAGGCACATTGGGTGCTAAAAGCTTTGGGTATTCATTTCACTTAGTCTCACAGAAGTCCACTGAAGTAAGTATGGTTATACATTGCTCATCAATGACAAACGAGAGTCCTGGTCAGTCTGATTACAAAACTCATGTTTTTAACCATTGTGTTTATATGGTCAAGGTTCCTACAGAAATGTTCCTGGCAGAAATAGCATGACAGGTATAGGAGGGAGGATTACACTAAGGGAAGAATGACACCACGAAGAATCCCAGGGAGTGTAAAACTTTAGTGTAGGTCCAAATCCTTCTTGTGTCAGGCCTAAATTCAATAACCAACAAGATTTGCTCATCTAAGAAGAACAGTATCCAAATGCTCTCAGATCATTTAAATAGGAGATCCCAAGTCTTATTTTCTTTTTTCCCAGCCTTTTCTGACAACTTTTAATTCAATACAATTTCAAGTCTTGAAATGTAAAATATACTACATTCTCCCATTTTGTGCATCCAGAGATCTTGTTTATCTTGGTAACTATTACATGGCCAGCACTTTGCACAATGCTTGGTATAGAGTAGGTGTTCAATTATTTTTTAATGAATGAATGAATTTATATATCTCTTACACTCTCCTGATTGTTCCTTCAAAATGATGCATTTCTGGTTATCTCCAGCCTCCTTGAAATAGACAAGAAATATTTTTTCTTCTTCTCCCAAGCCCATTCATTTCAGGTTCCAACTGGCATGGACTACTTTAATATTTGTCGTTGTCTCTATTAAGTAACCCTACCACCATCATTTATGCCATTCCCAGCATCAGCATGAAAAGCCTTTATATATCTATGAGGCAGAGCTCAATGAAACTTTCACTGGAAAGTAGTCTTCAAAAAATTGCACTTTACATCTTAACAAATCAAATATGATCTCAGCACAGCTAGCATATAAGTGATTATATAAACATAGAATAAACTTCTTTCCACACAAACGATGTTTCAAAATTAATTAGAGGAATGGGAGGCACAGCAAGGGGAGGAGATTTCCAGAACACGTGTTCCAGCTACCAGAAGCATTCTCGAAATAAATTGATATGATGATATGATTTAGCCAATTAATCAAGAAGGAAGATAAGGGCAGAATTCCCTGTAAAAGCACCCAAAGCCCTATAAGAATGTCAGATCAGCCACAGTGGCTGCACACAAATGGGTCAAATTGCTTGTCAACAAAAATATCTTGAGGAACAACATATTTGTAATCCAAACATGTAAAATTTAAAACTTTTACTAGGCCACAAGAAACATAGTAGCTGCCCTACTTGTCCAGTGGGCATAAATTGTTACTGTTGGAAGATCTCACTTCTCCTGGCCACTGACTCAATTACTACTAAGTGATCTTTAAAAGCTGGCAAGCTAGTTTCCCCTAGGACATTGTAGGTCATAATCACAACTCATATTTTGTATAGAAAGGACTTAATGGTGACTAAGAGCACCCCTACATTTCAAAATCAAATGAACATCTACATTTCTCACCTTTCTTTTGATCTTTTTGTGACATTAAATGCTCTTGTTCACTTTTCTTTACAGAACTCTCTTTCCATGGTTTAAGCCCATACTCTTACCTGGTTCTTCTAGTTCTTTGAACATTCTAAGTTTCCTTTACTTTTTGTCTCCCTAAATGTTAATTTACTCAAGCCTCTGTCCTCAGTCCTCGTTCTTATCCATGGCTTCAATTCTGTCTTTATGTTGTTAAAAACCCCAATTTAAATATGCAACCCAGATCTCTCTCCCAAACTGCAGCTTCACATATCCAACTGCCTCTGGTAAGCTCCACTTGAGTAGCCAAACTCAAATATCATGGTCCAAAACTGAACTCACCATGTCTTCATCATTATCTGCTCCTCTGTGTTTTCTAACAGTAGTAGAAAACGTGGCACCAGCCAACTTGTATTCAAGTCAGAAACTTGGCAATCATCGTAATTGCCTTCCCTTCCTTACCTACACTCCAAAAACTTAACCATGAATCTAGATAAATACTGTCACCTAGGTATTTCTCATACCCATTCCTTCTCTCATTTCCCAGTGCTACTACCTTTTTTCAGGTTTCCCGGAGTCTTCTTTGTAACACCCTTGACAACATTTAGTGCAATACCAATAATGTGTAAAAACAAAACACAAATCCATAATAATCTCACTCAACATCATTTAATTATTCTTCATTATTTTAGAATAATTATAAAATGTTTTCCATTGTCTGTGAGGCCTTTTATAAACTGCCTTCTGCCAAACTGTAGCCTCATCTCTTTTCAAACTTCTTGGTCTTCTCAGAAAATGCCTCACTTTTTCAGTCTTTCCTCTGTTTTATACACAGTGCCCCTGCCTAGGATGTCTTTTCTTCCTTTCTCTGCATACCAAACTTCCATACATCCTTCCAAATTTAAACTAGTGATGTCCTCCCTGTACACTCTTTTCATAATGTCCATCACTATAACCTAACCACCACTGTCTCCCATGTCTACTCTTCCTCTGTTCTTACCTACTCTTCCCTCCAGCCCCTCAAGAGAGGCTGGATACCACTCCTGTTTGTACCATTTTACCAATTACACCAATCGTGGTTGATCTGTCTTTCTGGTTTCTCTTCCTTTAAGTTATGAATTCCCTGAGTTCAAGGTCTGTGTCCTTCATTTTCATGTGTTCATAATCTAACTAGTAGTTGGCAGATGGTAGAGATTCAATAAATATTTGTCAAATAAATGGGTGGGGGCATGGGTGAATGAATGGATAGATGGAGAACATGAAGACAAAACACAATAATTAGTCTTAATGGTCCCTCCTCATTCAAATCATTGTTGTGAGTCCTGATAATGAATCACTACCTAACAACGACAAGTTAGTTTTTATTCCTTGGATAAGGCTGAATAAACATTTGAATGCTTTCTCTCCGGCCCTCATTTTTAGCTTTCACTATGGAAGCTTGTCTGCTTCCAATACCTTACTTTAAAGCAAATAATATAATGCAATTGATTATTTCTACTTAGTATGTTAAAATCACGTTCTAATTCTGTCTCACTGAGATTATGCCCAGATCTCATTGACTGGTGTTTGGGGAATTTCAAAAATCATGAGTCAGAAGTTTAAAGATTATTAATAATCTCTTAGCCTAACTTTAGAGATGGCTCATCTCATTCATTGTACATGGATTTTATTATTTAAACTCCCGGGCAATAACCTACTTTCCAATTTTGTAAGGGTACTTCTCAGTTGCTAGATTTAACTATTACTAGTTCTTACATAATCTTAAAACTTGAAATACTGGAAAAGAGGCTTTAAAGTCAAGAGATAAAATCAGTGTTGAGTCTCAAAAAAATGGGGAAATATTTTTTGCAATCCTGTTGTGGTTCATAAGCGTGATAATTGGGTTTTCACACTAGTACGTGAGATGCGCATTGTTAGAACAGTTTGTGGGAGGCACGTCTCACACAAAGTTCGTTGGCACATTACCCATCTGACGTGAAACAAAACAAACAAAAAAAGAAAAAAAAAGGAATATTTTTGCCAAGGGTGATTTCAATATATGGAAGAATTCAGATGTAGAGGATTATATTATATGCACTCTGAATGGAAAGAGCCCATGCTTAACAAACTTAGTAAAGATGTTTAGTATAGAAACCTGGCTTTTTAGTTCCTTAGGCAAGTTGTTCCATAAATCTAAGCTTTAATATATTCTCCTCAAGATGAGAGCAAGAACATGGGAATCAGGCAGAGTGGTATGTGCACAACATATTTCATTTATATGTCATCATCAGAAATTGAATAAGCACTAATGTATGACTGCATTTCTCAGGAAGCTATTGAATATCCCTTTAAATTATAAAAATATATATTATGACTGAAATATGCTTACATAAGAAAGCTATAATGGCTCTCTTTTTTAAGATAACATTTAGATATTTTTCTAATGGCTCAAGGTGATCAATGTTCTCAAGATCAAGGTTCTCCTCTGTGTTGGCTTGCTTCTACAGCTAGAAGGATGGAGTAATCAAATCTTCAGCCAACATTATTGAACTCATTATGCATGAGACATTTGCTAAATGCTTTAAATACATTATCTCATTTAATACTCACAACCAATCCTATGAGGGACATATTAACATTATCTATTTCAGTGAAAAATGAACTAAGACACAGAGAGAATAAGAATTTGTCCAGTCACACATCACTAACTGGCAAAGCCAAGTGTGTCCAACTCCCAGTCTTTTCATGCACAACCTCCACACAATCTTCTTATCAAAAATCTGTTTTTTCAAAGTTGATCTCATGGAGGTAGAGTAGAATGATTACCAGAAACTGGGAAGCATGGTGAGGGTGGTAAAGAGATATTGGTTGATGGGTACAAAAATATAGTTAGATAGAAGAAGTAAGTTCTAGCGTTTGATTGCACAGTAGGGTGACAATAGTTAATAAGAATTTATTGTATATTTTAAAATAGCTAGAAGAGAATATTTAGGATGTTCCCAAACAAAGAAACGATAAATGTTTGAGGTGATGGATATTCTGATTACCCTGATCTGATCATTACACATTGCATACATGTACCAAAATATCATATGCACCCCATAAGTATGTACAATTATTATGTATCAATAAAAAATGAAATAAAAGTCTGTGTTTTCTTGGTGGTTGTAGAGTTTGTTATAGGATCTTATATAAGACATTTAAACTCACTGTCTATGAATAATATGGATAGAATATGTTAAATTTCACAGTCTAAATTTTTTTTTTTTTTGAGACAGAGTCCCACTCTGTTGCCCAGGCTGGAGTGCAGTGGCACTGTCTCAGCTCACTGCAACCTCCACCTCCCAGGTTCAAGTGATTCTCCTGCCTTAGCCTCCTGAGTAGCTGGGATTACAGGCATGTGCCACCATGCCCAGCTAATTTTTGTATTTTTAATAGAGATGGGGTTTCACCATGGTGGTCAGGCTGATCTCGAATTCCTGACCTTGTGATCCACCCACCTTGGTCTTCCAAAGTGCTGGGATTACAGGCGTGAGCTACCACACTGGGCCTAAATTTTTAAATGTATAAAGTCTAAGGTTTCTTTAGCTTAAACATGTGATGACTCTTTCATTTTGTTTATATAATAAATTCTTACTAAGGTATAAATGATAAATGACTGATGACAATTTTTATATGTTATATACAGAGACCAACCTGGCAGGCATTTCCATTTATTAAATAATATCAGCTTTAACTTAAAAGAAGCTCATTTAGAAAAGATGCAGGCATCAACTGGGAGCAAATGTGAAAGCATTTTTCAGCACCAATTCTGTCCCAGATCTATCAGTACATGCTATACTGACAGCTACCTTCTTTACCTATGTCAAAGGTAAGTTACTCATTCAATGAATCATTGTGACAGGCACTGAGTTCAACTGAACATGGTTCCTGAAGACCTCCACTTTAGCCTATGTGGTGGGATACATACTCTGAAGGACTCTCCAACTGTAAAGTAGCTAGATCCTGGATAAAACAGGCCTTTGAATGTATATTTCCGGGATATCTCTGAAGGCACCAATCAACAACTTTCTCACCCCATCCTTTCCCCCCCCAAAAAAGAGAGTTGAAACCTGAGAGGGAATCAATGGGCAACAAGCAAGAAAAAGACAAGATTTTCTTCAAGTTGTTTTGATCAGTATTGCAGATAACTGAGAAACTAAGCATCAAGGAGGGTAGTCTAAATCAGAGATTCCCACAGTAAGCCAGAAACCTAGACAGAGGTGAAATGGTCTCAGTTTGGCAACCTCTTGGCTGCTAGCAGAAACAACTGGAAATCCTCTCTAGAGAAGAGCACTCTCAATCTATGGTCAGCCAAGAATTGTAGACTATTGAAACTACCTTACAAAAACAAAGGCAAAATAAAAACATTTCCAGATAAATAAAAGCTGGTAGTCACCACAAACAAACCTTCCCTAAAGAAAATTCTAAGACTATATTTCAGTCAGTAGGAAAATGTTCCCTGAAAGAAGTCTGAGATGCTGAAAAAATCATGAGCAAGAAAAATGGTAAACATATAGGTAAATCTAAACATTTTATTTATAAGAAAACCATAAGAATACAGACTGACAGATGATCTTTACAAAGTAAAGACCAAAGCAAAGGAATGACAATAATAGTACATAGGTCAAAAGGTTGAAAGTTAGGCCTCTTGTGCCAAACGGTTGGTCAACTTATGAATGCAAAAAAAAAAAAAAAAAAAAGTTCTTGAAGGAAATCATAAGTACTACTCCAGTGAACACATGAATGATAAGAAAGCAAAATAGCCTTATTGCTGATGTAGAAAAAGTTTGAGTGATCTGGAAAGATCAAACCAGCCACAACATTTCTTAAGCCAATGCCTAATCTGGAGCAAGATTTTAACTCTTTTTAATTCTAGAAAGGCTGGAAAATGTGAGGAAGCTGCAGGAGAAAAGTTTGAAGCTAGCAGAAGTCCCAGAAGGTAAGTTACTCATTCAATGAATCATTGTGACAGGCACTGAGTTCAACTGAACATGGTTCCTGAAGACCTCCACTTTAACCTATGTGGTGGGATACATACTCTGAAGGACTCTCCCACTGTAAAGTAGCTAGACCCTGGATAAAACAGGTCTTTGAGGTTCATGAGGTTTAAGGAAGGAAGCCATCTTCATCACATATAAGTGCAAGGTAAAGCAGCAAGTGCTGATGTAGAAGCTGCAGCAAGTTATCCAGAAGGTCTAGGTAAGACAATTGATAAAGGTGGCTCTACTACACAACAGGGTTTTTCAAGGTAGATGAAACTGTCTTCTACTAGAAGGAGATGCCATCTAGAACTGTCATAGCCAGAGAGGAGAAGTCAGTGTCTGGCTTCAAAGCTTCCAAAGATGGGCTGACTTTTTTGTTAAGGGCTAATGTAGCTGATGACTTTAAGTTGAAGCCAATGCTCATTTATCATTCTGAAAATCCTAGGGCCCTTAAGTAAAAATCTACTCTCCATGTGCTCTATAAATGGAACAACAAAGGCTGAATGACAGCACATCCATTTGAAGCATGGTTTACTGACTATCTTTAAGTCCATTATTAACACCTACTCCTCAGAAAAAGAGTTCTTTCAAAACATTACTACTCATTAACAATGCACCTGATCACCCAAGATACCTGATGGAGATAAACAAGAAGACAAATGTTGTTTTCATGCCTGCTAACACAACATTTATTCTGCAGTCCATGGATCAAGGAGTAATTTTGACTTTCAAGTTCTATTAAAGAAATGCACTTTGTCAGGCTATATCTGCCATAAGTAACAATTCCTCTAATGAATCTGGGCAAAGTCCATTGAAAACTTTCTGGAAAGGATTCACTATTCTAGACACCATTAATTTTTGATTCTTGTTTGGAGGTTAAAATATCAACATTAACAGGAGTTTGGAAGAACTTAATATCAACCCTCATGAATGACTGTGAAGGGTTCAAGACTTCACCGGAGGAAGTATTACGGATGTGGTAGAAATAGCAAGAGAGCTAGAATTAGAAGTGGAACCTAAACATATGACTCAATTGCTGCAATTATATGCTAAAATTTGAATGGATAAAGAGTTGCTTCCTCATTCATAGGAATGAATGAGCAAATGAGGTGTTTTTTTGAGATGCGATCTATTTCTGGTGAAGATGCTGTGAACATTGTTGAAATGACAACAAAGGACTTTGAATATTCCATAAACTTAGTTGGTAAAACAGCAGCAAGGTTTGAGAGGATTGATTCCAATTTTGAAAGAAGTTCTACTTGGGTAAAATGCAATCAAACAGCATTTCATGCCACAGAGAAGTTTTTCATGAAAGGAAAGTCAATCAGTTCAGCAACTTTATTGTTGTCTTATTTTAAGAAATTGCCACTGCCACCACAACATTCAGCAACCACCACCCTGATCAGTCAGTAGCCATCAACATCCAGGCAAGTTTCTCTACCAGCAAAAAGATTACAATTTGATGAAGGCTCAAGTGATCACATTTTTTAGCAATAAAGTATTTTTAAATTAAGCTGTGTACATTATTTTTAGACGTGATGCTATTGCACACAGTAGGCTACAGTATAGTATACATATAATTTTTATATGCACTGGGAAACCAGAAAAATGCATGTGACTGTCCTTGTTGCTATAATCTGAAACTGAACTTACCATATCTTTGAGGTATGCCTATAATTTCAACAGAGACTGCATGACCTGCAAACTTGACAATACTTACTCTGACACTTTACAAAACAGTTTGCTGACCGCTGACCAATATGAAAAGACACAGAAAAGTTAAAATATTCAGTTTATCTGGAAGATGTTTTTAATTAACTTTTTTACACCTAACAAAGTAGCTTCAGAAAATAACAAGAGAATTAAAGAAAACTTAAGTAAATGGAAGAGTATAATATGCTCATGAATTACAAAACTCAAAATTGTTACAATGTCATTTCACCTCATATAGTTCTATAGACTCAGTTCAATCCCAACTTAAGAACCCAGCTAAGATTTGATTTGTTTTGTTTTGTAAATTGAGAAGCAAATTCTAAAATGTATATAGAAATGTAAGAGACCTAGAAAAGCCAAGACAATCTAACAGAAGAAAAAAACTGGCAGACATACACTGTCTGACTTCAAACCATTATGAAACTGAAGAAATTAAGATACTGTGTAATATTGGCACAAGAATGGAGCAATGGTACAGAATAGCTATTAAGCAAGAAATATACCTACACATATACAGTCACCTGATTTGTGTCAAAGACACTAATTCAGTCAGGAAAGTACAGTCAATTCAATAGATAGTGATGGATTCAGTGGATATCCATTTTTGAAATTAACTTTAGACTCAATCTGTGCTACATGCAAAAACTTATTCCAAATGAACCATAGACCTAAACGTGAAAGTTAAAACAATAAATATTCTAATAGAAAAAAATAAAAGAATCTCTTTCTGAACTTGGGAAAGACAAACATTTCTTAAACAGGACATAAAATGCACTAACCATAAAAAAAGATTAATATATTGGACTTTCTTAAAATCAAGCATGTGTTGATCAAAAGACACTATTAAGATAATGAAAATGCAAGAAACACAAAAATAAGACAGTTTCCATACGTACATCTAACAAAGAATTATTATTTAGAATATATCTTCAACATTTTATAAATTGGTATGGAAAAGAGAAAAAAATCCAATGGACAAAAAAGCCAAATCTAGTCATTTAATAAAAAAAGACATTGAAATAACTAATAAATATATTAAAATGTGCCCAGCATCCATAGTCATCAGAGAAATGCAAATTTAAAAACCATAATGAGCTGGGCACAGCAGCTCATGCCTATAATACCAACACTTTGGGAGGTGGAGGCAGGAAGATTGCTTGAGGCCAGGAGTTCAAGACCAGGCTGGGCAACACAGCCAGATCCGATGCCCCCTGATGTCTCCACAAAAAAAAAGAATGTTTAATTAGCCAGGCATGGTGGTGTGTACTTGTAGTCCCAGCTACTTGGGAGGCTAAAGCAGGAGGATCATTTGAACCCAGGAGTTTGAGGCTGCAGTGAGCAGTAATTGTGCCACTGCACTCCAACCTGGATTGCAAAGCAAGACCCTGACTCAAAAATAAAATAAATAATTTTTAAAAACCACAATGGGATACCACTACACACCCACCAGAATTACCAAAATTAAAATATAGACAATGCCAAGTGTTGACAGCATGTTGAGCAACTGGAATTCTCATACAGTAATGATATAAGAGTAAATTGGTACCATTATTTTACAAAAGCGTTCAGTGATATCTACTAAGGCAAAACAGATGCTTGCTCTATGATTCAGCAATTATACTACTGGGCATTTATCAATAAATGTAAATGTTTATGGTCTCCATCGAAGATATGTACAAGGATGTTCTCAGAAAAGTTATTTATTATACCCCTAAACTGGAAACAACTGAAATGATTGTCAATAATAGAACGGAGAAAAATTCACACAATGGAATTCTTCATAACATTAAAAAAACTCTACTGATACAGAAAACAACACAGATAAATCTTAAACCATAATGCTGAGCAAAAAATACATATTTTATGTTTCTAATTATATAAAGTTCAAAACCACACAAAACTTATCAATATTGGTACAAGTTTGAACAGTGGTTTCCTTTGGATATTTACAGAATGTAGATACAAAGGAGGCTTCTGCAGCTGAAGAAATATTCTACATCTTGATGAGGCAGTTACATAGTGGGATGTGTGTATGTTCATATGTATAAAAATTCTTTGAACTAGACATTTAAGATTTGTGTATTTTACCATGTGTAATGTATACTCAATATCTTTAAAGTTTCCAAATACATAAAGCAAAAATTTATAGAACTATAAAGAGAAGTTAACAACTTCACCATCTGGTATTAGATTTCAACATGTATCTCTCATCAATAAATAGCCAAGCACGGGGTGGCTTGCACCTGTAATCCCAAATCCCAGCACTTTGGGAGGCCAAGGTGGGTGGATTGCTTGATCTCAGGAGTTTGAGACCAGCCTAGGCAACATGGCAAAACTGCATCCCTATGCTGGGTGTGGTGGCATGCACCTGTAGACCCAGTTACTTGGGGGGCTGAAGCGGGAGGACTGCTTGAGCCCAGGAGGCAGAGGTTGCAGTGAGCTGAGGTGGTGCCACTGCATTCCAGCCTGGGTGACAGAGCCAGACCCTGTCTCAAAAATAAATAAATAAATAAATAGCCAAGCAAACAGAAAATTAGCAAAGATATAAAAAATTTAAACACAATATGATTGATTTAATGAACATATATAGAAATGGTTCCCAATAATTAAAAAATACCCTTTTCTCTCATATACATGTGAAATGTTTGTAAGATAGCAATAAGTCAAATCCAACAAATTTCAGTTATTTGTTGTTATATTAGAACACATTCACAGAGTACAATAAAACTAAGTTCAAAATAAATAAAAAAATTAAAACTCTCATATCTTTTCAAAATTGTAAAACACAATTGTGAGTAATTCATGGGTTAAAATAAAATCATAATAGAAATTTCAAAATCTTTAAAACTAAACAATAATAAAAACACTACCAATCAGGACTGCCACTTGACATGATGGAATAATTGAAACCATACTTCTCCTTCTCCTTTGTAAAACTAGAAAAATATATGAAACTATGTTTTAAGAAATTGTACACAGTATGTAAATGGAATTTTTAAGAGAAAGAAAATAAACTAAGAGACCCCTATGCCTACTCTTGATTTCCACCTGGAGGAATTTCCAGACTACAGTGCAGAGAAAGAGAACCCAAGCAGAGACCAATTGTCTCACTAAGTTTAAGAGACAGAAAGGAGCTCTGTGAGTTGAGGGGAACAGGGAGGCCAAAGTGATTAGGTTTTTCAAGTCAGTGTTGGAGAAAAGGAAACTATGCATAGAAAAGGCTCTAAACCTCTAAAAATATGCAATGTGGTCCCCTTGAGTCCATTGATAAATACTAAACCATCTGTGTAGATGGCATAACGTGAGGCCAAAAATTATAGGAGAGCTCTAAGATGAAGATTTATATAGAAATGTAAGAGACACAGCGCTCACATAAGTGAGGGGTCGGGGGGGCAATTTTTTAGTTAATGAATGCTATCTTGAAATTTCCCAAAGCTTAAAAACAATTTTAAAATGAATAAACTGATCCACAAGTAATTTAACTGCTTCTCAGAATTTTTCCAACACTCTTTAAAGAAAGACAACCAAATCTAAACATTCAGCAATGTAACAATCACAATGTCCAGCATATAATAAAAATTACTTTTTAAAATTACTAGACATGCAAATATGAGAGAAATGTGACCCATAGCCAGCAGGGGGAAAAGTCAGTAAAATCAGCCAAGAAATGACACTAATGGCAAAATTAACAAACAATAAGCTCAAGTGTGTAAATGAACACATGAACATAATAAGAGTAAAATAGACGATTAAAAGAATTAATGGGAATTCAACAACTGAAAAATGCAGTATCTGAATTGAAAAATTCAGTGAATGGCATTAACAGCAAATAAGAAACTGCAGAAGAATACATCAGTGAGGTTTAAGATATGCAATAGAAACCACCTAAACCTAAGTACCAAGATAGAAAAAAATAAACAAAACCTCGGTGAGCTATAGGGCAATATCAAGAAATCCAACAGAAGTGTAACTGGAGTTCCAGAAGGAGAAGAGATATATTTGAGGCTAAAAAAAAAAAATCTGAAGAAATAATGGTTCAACATTTTCCAAGGTATTGTGAAAATTACAAGCCTATAGACCCAAGAATCTTGATGAACCACAAGCAGAATAAAAATAAATAAAACCTGACCAGGTACATTATAATCAAATTACCTTAAAACGAAAACATCATGAACATATCTGCCACCACAAAAACACACTCAAGTACACGGCACACTGACACTATAAAGCAACTACACAATCAAGTCTACATAACAACCATCTAACAACATGATTGCAGGATCAAATTCTCACACATCAATATCAACCTTGAATGTAAATGGGCTAAATGCCCCACTTAAAAGGCATAAAGTGGCAAGTTGGATAAGGGAGCAAGACCCGACTATCTACTGTCTTCAAGAGATCCACCTCACATGTAACGCTCATAGGCTTAAAGTCAAGGGACGAAGAAAGGTCTATCATGCAAAAAGAAAACCAAAAAAAGAGCAGGGGTTACTATTCTTATGTTGGATAAAACAAATTTTAAATCAAAAATAATAAAAAACAATAAAGAAGGGCATTACATAATGATAAAGAGTTCAATTCAACAAGAAGACTTAACCATTTTAAGCATATATGCACCCAACATTCACACTCCCAGATTCATAAAACGAATTCTTAGAAGAAACTTAGATAACCACACAAGAATAGTGAGAGACTTCAACACCCCACTGACAGTGTTAAGCAGATCATCGAGACAGAAAACTAAAAAGATATTCCAGACTTAAACCTGACACCTGACCAATTGGACCTAATAGACTTCTACAGAATACTCCACCCAACAACAACAGAATATACATTCTTCTAATCTGCACATGGCACATACTCGAAGACCAACCACATGCCTGGCCACAAAGCAAGTCTCAAGAAATTAAAGAAAAAAATCATACCAACCACACTCTCAAACCATAGTGCAATAAAAAAAGAAAGTAATACCAACAAGCTCTCTCAAAATCATACAATTACATGGAAATTAAACAACTTGCTCCTGAATGACTTTTGGATAAAGAACAAAATTAAGGCAGTATATTAGTTCATTCATGCATTGCTATAAAGAAATACCTGTGGCTGAGTAATTTATAAAGAAAAGCAGTTTATTTGTCTAATGGTTCTGCAGGATATACAGGAAGCACAATGGCATCTGCTTCTGGGGAGGCCTTAAAGAGCTTTCACTCCTAGTGGAAGGCAAAACAGGAGCGAGCACCTTACGTGGTAAAAGCAGGAGCAAGGGTGCGGATGGGAGGAGGCGCCACACACTTTGAAACAACCAGATCTCATGAGCACTTACTATCATGAGGACAGCATCAAGGGGATGGTGCTAAATCAGTCATAAGAAGTCCACCCTTATGATCCAATCACCTCCCAAAGGCCCCACCTCCAACACTGGGAATTACATTTCAACATGAGATATGGGCAGGGCCACATATCTAAACTCTATCAGGCAGAAATCAAAAAAATTTTTGAAACTAATGAAAAGACAGACACAACATACCAGAATCATTGGGACACAGTTAAAGCATGTTAAGAGGAAAGTTTATAGCACAAAGTGCCTACATCAAGAAAGTAGGAAGATCTCAAATTAATAACCTAACATCACACCTAGAGGAACTAGAAAAATAAGAGCAAACCAACCACAAACATAGCTTAAGAAAAGAAGTAGCCAAAATCAGAGCAGAACTGAATGAAACTGAGGTGCAAAAATCCATACAAAGGTCACTGAAACCAAAAGTTAACTCTTTGAAAGAATAAGCAAGATTAAAAGACTGAAATCTAGATCAACAAAGAAAAAAAGAGAAAAGATCCCTATAAACACAAATATAAATGACAAAGGTGACATTACAAAAGACCCCACAGAAATATAAATAGTCCTCAGAGGCTGTTACAAACACCTAGGCTATTAAACAAACTAGACAACCCAGAAGAAATAGATAAATTCCTGAACACACAACCTCCCCAAGATTGAAACCCTGAACACAACAGTAACCAGTTCCAAAATTAAATCAATAATAAAAAAAAATCTACCAACAAAAAAAAAACCTAAACCAGAAAAATTCACAGCTGAATTATACCAAACGTATAAAGAAGAGCTAGTATCAATCCTACTGAAATTATTCCAAAAAAGTGAAGAGGAGGGACTCCCCTCTAACTCTTTCTATGAAACCAGCATCAGCCTGATACCAAAATCATGCAGAAACACAAGGAAAAAAAACTTCAGGCCAATCTCCCTAATAAACATAGATGCAAAAATCTTCAACAAAATACTAGCAAATCATATCCAGTAGCACATCAAAAAGTTAATTCACCATGATCAAGTAGACTTTATTTCTGAAATGCAAGGTTAGTTCAACATATGCAAATCAATAAATGTGACTCACCACATAACAGAATTAAAAACAAAAACCATATGATCATCTCAATAGATGCAGAAAAGGCTTTCAATAAAATTCAACATCCCTTTATGTTAAAAATGCACAACAAATGAGGCATCAAAGAAACACAGCTCAAAATAATAAGAGCCATCTATAACAAACCCACAACCAACATTACACTAAATGGGCAAAAGCTGGAAGCTGGAAGCATTCCCCTTGAGAAGTGGGGAATGACAAAGATGTCCATTCTCACCACATCTATTCAACGTAGTACTGGAAGTCCTGGAAGCCAGAGCAATCAGGAAAAAAAAAAAGAAATAAAAGGCATCCAAACAGGAAGAGAAGAAGTTAAATTATCTCTCTTCACAGATAATAGAATTCTATACTTAGAAAACCCCAAAGACTCTGCCAAAAGGGTCCTAGAACTGAAAATTACTTCAATAAGGTTTCAGGATATAAAATCAATGTACAAAAATTAGTAACATTTCTACTCAACAATAATGTTCAAGCCAAAAGCCAAACCAAGAGTCCAATCCCATTAAAAATACCCAGAAAAATAAAATACCAAGAAATACCGCTAACCAAGGAAGTGAAAGCTCTCTATAATGAGAATTACAAAATACTGCTGAAAGAAATCTGAGGTGACAAAAATAAATGGAGAAATATTCCATGCTCATGGATAGGAAGAATCAGTATTGTTAAAATGGCCATACTGCCCAAAGCAATTTACTGATTTAATAGTATTCATATCAAACTACCAATGTCATTTTTCACAGAATATGGAGTGAAAAAAGAGCCAAAAGCCAAGGCAATCCTAAGCAAATAGAACACAGCCAAAGACATCATACTACCCAACTTCAAACTATACTATAAGGCTACAGTAACCAAAACAGCATAGTATTGGTATTTAATACAAAAACAGACCCCACAGACCAACGGAACTGCATAGAAAACTTTGAAATAAAGCTGCACACCTACAACCATCTGATCATCAACAACACTGACAAAAACAAGCAATGAGGAAAAGACTCTTCAATAAATGGTGCTGGGATTACTGGCTAGCCATATGCAGGAGATTGAAACCGGACCCCTACTTTCACCTTATACAAAAATCAACCCAAGATAAATTAAAGACTTAAATTTAAGACCTGAAACTCTAAAAATCCTAGAAGAAAACCTAGGAAATACCATTCTGGACACTAGTCTTAGCAAAGAATTTATGACTAAGTCCCCAAAAGCAATTGCGATAAAAATGAAAATTGACACATGGGACCTAATTAAACTAAAGAGCTTCTGCACAGCAAAAGAAACTATCAACAGAGTCAACAGGCAACCTACAGAATGGGAGAAAATATCTGCAAACTATGCATCTGACAAAGGTCAATATTCAGAATCTATAAGGAACTTAATGCATCAAGCAGAAAAACAAATAACCCTGTGAAAAAATGGGTAAAGGACATGAATGGACACCTCTCAAAAAAGACACACATGAAGCCAACAAATATATTTAAAAATGCTCAACATCACTAACTATCAGAGAAATGCAAATCAAAACCACAATGAGATACTGTCTCACACCAATCAGAATAGCTATTATTAAAAAGTCAGATGTTGACAAGGTTATGGAGAAATGGGAATGCTTATGCACTGCTGGTGGGAATGTAAATTAGTTCAGCCACTGTGGAAAGCAATTTGAAGATTTCTCAAAGAACTGCAAACAGAACTGCCCTTCAACCCAGCAATCCCATTACTGGTATATACCCAAAGAAAAATAAACCATTCTATTTAAAAGATACATGCACTCGTATGTTCATCATGGGACCATTCATAACAGCAGACAGATAGAATCAACCTAAATGCCCATCAACAGTAGACTAGATAAAGAAAATGTGGTATATATACAAATAGAATACTACACAAACATGAGAAATAACAAAATCATGTTCTTTGCAGCAACATGGATGCAGCCAGAGGCTATCATCCTAAGTAAACTAGCGCAGGAACAGAAAACCAAATACTGCACATTCTCACTTACGAGTAGGAGTTAAACATTAAGTACACTCAGACACAGATATAGGAACAATAGACACTGGGGCTACTAGAATGGGGAGGGTCATAGATGAGGGTTCAAAAACTATCAAGTACTATGCTCACTACCTGAGTGATGGGATCATTCATACCCCAAACCTCCACAACATATATTTATGTAATAAACCTGCAGGTGTACCCCTAAACCTAAAATAAAAGTTTTTTAAAAGTAAAAACAAAACAAACCCCCCAAAAAATAAAAAGGAAGAACAGATTAAGCCCAAACAATAAAGGGCAAAATAATAAATATGTGTACAGAAGTCAATCACACTGAAATGGGGCAAACAATAGAGAAAAATCAGTGAAACTCAAAGTTGGACTTTGAAAAGAACAATCCACAAATGTGGAACCTGTGGATACAGAGGGCAGACTAGGAGAAAAGCCACAGACAGGCAGAAAAATATTTGCAGTACATATGACTGAAAAAACTTTTATTCAGAATATATATTTTTTAAATTCTTAACAACTGAATACTGAGAAGACAATCCAATTTTTTAACGGGCAAAATATTTGAATAGTCACATCACAAAAATTATACAAATCTCTGATGAACACATGAAAAGATGCTCATCATAATTAGTCAACAGAAAACTGCAACATAAAACCACAGTCAAATACCACTACACACCCACTAGAATGGCTAGGATTTAAAAGACTGACAATAACAAGTATAGATGAGCAACTCTCATACACTGCTGGTGGAAGCTGAAAATGATACAACCCTTTTTTAAAATACTTGGACCATTTCTTATAAAGTTAAACATACATTCACCATATGACCCAACAATTCCACGTCTAAGTAATTACCCAGGAGAAATGCAAACACATTTTCACACAAAAATATGTATGTTCATAACAGCTTTATTCATAATAGCTAAAAGCTGAAAACAACCTAAATTCATCATGAAACAAATGGATAAGCAAATGGTGATGTATCCATCCCACAAAATACTAACCTATAATAAAAAGGAATTAATCATTGTTCAAAGAAGTGCCCCAGGATCTTGATCCCACTTGTTTAAAATTTCCTTTGAAAGCTCTTGCTCATGTCTTCACCTGATCTGGACACAACAGTACTGGCACCCATCAAATGGAAAGTTGGCTCAACTTTAATTTTCAGTCAAAATTGTGTAAGCAGAACCAATTGAGATGCCTGTGGTGTTAGTTATTGTTTCTGCTGTTAATCCTCAGGCCTGAAGAGAGCTGACATAAACAAGATGAATTTTTTCCTTGGAAATTGACATGGAAGCTCTGTCACTGTGAGCTTCATCTTCAACGTCATCTTATCCCTTCTTAAAATGAGCTATCTATTTGTAAACTGCTGATTTATTTGGGTCATTGTCCCCATAAACTTTTCTTAAAGCATCACTGATTTCACCACTCTTCCACCCAAACTTCATCATAAATTTGATGTTTGTTCCTGCTTCAATTTTAGCAGAATTTGTATGGCTCTGATAGGGTCTTTTTTCAAACTGACATCTTATCTTTCTAAGTATCTCAAACTAGCTCCTGTTCAGACATGTTATAGCAAGTTAGTACAAGTTTATTTGGGTGAAAAAAATTGAAATCTATGCATAGTTTTTTCATAATACACATTTTCCATGAATGTTTTTAAGAACCCTAGTACATTCCTATTAAATGGAGAAGTAAAAGATGTTATGCAACCACACAGAAGGAGTGCCTAGCCCAGTTTTCTGTCATCCTAGAGGGCTCCTCAGAGGAAGTGATTTTTGAGACAAGTATGAGTTAGCCAAAGAGTTAGGAAGAGAATGTGCTTGGTTAGAAATCCTGACCCCTTGGAAACCAAAGGTGATGTCATCAAGCACAGCTACCCATTGCAAATGACATGTCTCATTACGTGAATTTCAGTTCTACCCAACAAATATTTATTAAAGTCCTAATATATAGAAGGCATTCTATTCTACATATTGGAGCCAAAGAGGAAGAAAAAAGTGTGAGGATGAGTCATGCCTTCAAGGAGCTTACAATATGTTGAAGAGGAAGAGCTTAAACACACACAAAAAAATACAGAGTTTTCATAGTAATCTAAATCAGCTTTAAAAGCCACCTATGCCACACACAAGTGATCATTTACTCTAAGTAATGTAAGGTGTGGTGGCTTTTTTAACTGGCAGGAGAGAAGGCTGCAAAGGGGGTTGAGTGAGGGGTAGGGAGACAAAAGAAGGAAAGACTACAGGCTTGGGAAAGGATCTTGACAGCCATAGATACACTGCCAAGCACAGACTTCCTACTGTGTTAGTGGACATGGGTAGGCAGGAAAAATAGGGCATGCTTCTTCTGACTATTTTTCTTCTGATCACCTTTAGCCATCGCCAATCATGCTTCCCCTATAGCAGAAGATTGTGCCTGACATGTTCTGGCAAGGAAAATGGTATGGATGGACAGATGTAATGGAGAAGCAAAATCACATGTAAGAACCCAACATCCAGCTTACCCTCAGCACAGCCTCTCAATAGGCCTTGGAGTCCCAGGTAGACAGTGCCCAGAAAAGCAGATATTACTACTTCCCTTCCTTCTCAGGAAACTGGAAGAAAGCCCACACATTATAAAGTTTAGTTCATCAGTGAATAAACATACACTGACAGTTCTGGGTTCCAGACTGGAGACATAATGATGAGCAAGAGAGTTTTTGTCCTCATGATGTCTAGTGGGAGAGAAAGATACAGAAAATACAGGGAAGAGTATAAGGTGCCATTGGAGTACAGAGAAAGGTAGCCAGCCTATCCTTAGGGAGACAGGGCAGACTTCCATGAGAAAAATGTTTTCATTATATTCATACACCATCTAATGATATGTTAGACCTTGTTTCCTTTAAGAAATCTTGGGGGGCAAGAAGGGAGAAGTTATCTGGCAACACACGAAAAAAAAAGATCACTGGTATGGCAGACAGACTTGTCACAGTCCAAGTAAAGTCAAGTTTCACAGTCATTGCTGTTTGCTTTATGGATAAAACAAATGTACTGTTGGCAAAGCCAGGGTTGAGTGCCGGATTCAATAGCCCATAAATCCTGAAGTAACAGAAAGCACAAAACAGACCTGGCCCCAATCTGCACTGCTGCTTTGTTGAAATTATCCTGGCCACTCATCAGCTCCCAGAGATGGAGGCCAAACCAGAAAAAGTAGGTGCTAGGAGCAAGGAATTGAAGTTGAAGGAGGAGTTCATCCATATCTGGCCCATGAGAGGAGGCTGCAGGAGAGAATACGAAATATGCAAGGCAGCCCACACTGGTTTCTTGACCAAAAGAGAGGGAAATAGATAAATGAATGAATGAATGAGAGGATGTATAGATGGGTTGTTGGAAGGAAGAATACAGTGAGGGGAGCAGAATATGCTACAGCAAACCTCTGGGGTAGAAGGGAAAGCTGGTCTCAATGTGGCCAACCAACTGGGAAATGCCTCTGGTTAGAAATCATTCAACTATGCCTCCTTGGAGTTGACCACATGACATTTATCTCCAGTTTTTTAAACCAAAACCAAGGCTGTATCATCAATGTTGAAAAAGCTGAGAATTCAAAGGCAACGTTTCCGATGCTGTGGGTAGAGTCTGGGGAAGTCCAGGCTAACTCTACCCTGACCTGAAGGCTGATCACTTACTTTCAGGACAGGGGCTGAGAGAGGACTGTCACGGGGAAAGATTAAAAATGAGACCAAAGCAACCACGACCACAACAAAAAGAGAGAGCAATAAAGAGAGACTTAGAAATGAACACCCACTTGCTTTCAGATGAAAAGCTTGAGTCAAAGTGGTGTTAAGGAGGTGACAGATCCTATATTATAGCCAAGAACCCCCAAAACTAAACAAATACAGTGGTTTTTCTTTCCTCTCAGTAATATGATTGCTGTTTACCTGGTGCAGGAAACAGGGTAAGAATGGGAGGAAGAGACATGCTCTAAGATGCATAATGGTTTAGTTAACATGTAATTCAGTCAGCTGATTTGTCTGTCTATTTTGTGTTTTGTTCTGTTTTCAATTTGCTTTAGTAGAGCTGGCCTGAGTTAGAGTGGTGAAGTAGGAAATGGTAGTCTTTGGTACCCAAGGAAAATTCCACCTTTCTTCCTCACCCCTTCTTTTTTGGAATCTCCTGCCTCATTCCCTCTGTTTGTATCATCCACACTTCACTCTGCACTACTCTCAAATTTCAGGGGCTCCTCATGCTAACTGAGGCTGTTTAGCCAGAGCAGGACTCCCACAGCTACAGCTTCTCTGAGCTCTTCTTTAGCAGCAGTGTACAAAAGGCCTTTACAAGCATTTTGTTTGTTACTGTGCACAACAACCCTGTGGAAGAGTCAGCCAAAATATCATCATCACTAATTTACAGATGAGGAAGTAAAATGACTTGTTCTATGGTAAGTGGCAGATTTTGGTAAGGACCCAGGTCTTTTAACTCAGAGATAAAAGAGTTTCAGAGTTCTTTTAAGCAAATCACACTGGATAAATGAAAGAGGATATATAAAATATAATTCATACAGAAATTTAGTAGCTATATAACAATGAGTACTTAACATGACACCTCTAAACTAATAACTATGAGTGATATATCCAGTTTGTTAACATTTTCCAATTATACATTTGAAATTAAAAGTACCAGTCACTTGAGAAATTGTTGGGATATGATGTCCTTTACCTAACAATAATTTTTAAATATTGTAGTGGATGCTGTGGTATGCCACTCAGTGCCAGATTCAACAGCCAGATTCAACAGCCCATAAATCCTGATGTCTAATCTGCATCCAGAATTGAAGCACACTCCTTTTCCCCACTGCTTTTAGGAGTATTGACAGCAGCTGACAGCTCTCAACTGCATCATTCTCTGGAAACTGCCCTAAGCTTATGAAAGCTGCTTTGCCCAAGATCATGGCTCACTCCCAGGGCCAACCTGCATCTGATCACTGGTGGATGGGAAATAAAGACCCAGTTCCCTTGCCCCAAGGTGTTAGGATTCTGAGGGGCTATCTAAAGACTCAGGGCATCTATGAGGATTGCATGAGGACTTGTGACTGTTTTGCATTTCACTTCTTCCCTCTACCCAATCCTACTTCTTTCCTTCTCCCACGGGAAATATTCAAACAAATCCCCTTGAAATACTTTTCTACTAGTTTAGGACCTCTAACTACTAAATTGCATTGTGTTTTAGCAAAAGATCCACAGGAGGTAACTCATAAGTGCTTTTTGTATTGACTATTTGATTTATGAGCCTGGAATTAAGGCTTTATATGGCTTTATATGGGATGATGCATAAGAGTTATTTTTGCAAACAATCTAAATTTGTAATCATGAATACAGAGTTAACCTGTTTCTCAGACTGTGGTAACTATATGAATTAGGATTCCACCTGCCCCCAACATGTAAAGTTGGGAGGGGGAACATAAGAAGGAATAGGGGATGTGGGAAGACATGCATTAACTATAAGCAGTTTTCTTGTAGTGTCAGGGGTAGGCTGAGGGGCTCATCAACTAAAGATTAAGTTGTATTTAAACCCATTGTCAACTGCTCACATGGCCAAAAAATTACTTTTAGGCTAATTTCTCTCAATCTCTAAAAGGCATATTTTACGGATTTTTTATGAGTTCAATAAATCAGGCTATATTGGTCATTTGATTATTGCTCATTATAATCCCCTACTTCCCCCAAAATAGATGGTAGATAGATAGATAGATAGATAGATAGATAGATAGATAGATAATAAATAGATGATTGATAGATACATACATACATACATACATACATACATACATACATACATATAAGATAAAAGCAGAAGTTGGTATTTAAAGTCCCCAAGGAAGAGCAAGCAGCCCTAGAGTCCTTCCTCTTTGGCCTACCCATATTGGGAGTCTCTCCAGCCAGGAACTTCCTATGAGGAATAGGAGGAGAGAAGGTATAGGAGGAGAGAAATCCTGTAATTCAGAGAAGACATGAAAGATAGTATCTGCCACTTGGATTGACATTTTACTTTACCAGCCCTTAGTAGAATCTCAAAGGTCCCTGGGACACTCTGTTGCTGAGGAGGGATTTTCTTACGTTAGGGATTTCCCCCAATAGTCTCTGCAAGTTTCTCTCTCCATAGTTGTTGACAGCCACTATCTCACTGCCCAAATGGTACTGGATTTTGTTGATCACTGGATTTGCGATGCTACAGGCATTAATGGAAACATAAGTAATGGAATTTTTTCTACCTTTTTCTTTCAAGTGGAGTGCTCCACCCCCACCCCAAAAAATAAACAAAATCAACATAATTTCCAGTTTTCTAGAATGAGTAAACATTCAATCCAAACTATTATAACTGCTATGATTAATTTCTAAAACATTTTTACTATGAGTTGATCTTATTTTGAAAGTAAAAGCAAAGTGTATTGGAGGAGCATATCTGACTTTAAATCCTGGGTTTACTGTTTAGTGTCAATGTGATCTTGAGCAGTTTACTTAGGTGCCTTTATCAGGAAAGTAGGGATTATAATGTCATTGTAGTTTTTATGAAGAACAAATGTACTGTTTGAGAAACGTAATTTACGTGAACGAATGATAACCATTCTTACAGTTTTATGCATTCCAAATGCTCACTACAAAAATCCAGTATTTTTAAAAAGATTCATTTAATTTCTTTATGCCTAAGTCTATTTATAAAACACTACTGCTGGACTAGTTGAATTCCAAGGTTGCTTTCCATTCTGACTTTCTATGATCTAATTGTAACACATGAACAGAGCAAATGAAGAAGCTATTATCTTTATACAGAACTTTAACAAATCTATTTTGATAGAAAATTAGGTGAATGAGACAGACCACCACCTTTCCCAGCACTTTGATTAATTTATAACCAAATGTTGTTCTTTAAGTGCTTGAGATTTAAAGGAGTAATAAGAACATTAAAGATTTTTAAGTAAAAAGTTCCATTTTTTTTACCATAAATGTCATTACAACTCTTGTCTAAAAAATGGAGTTATTCTAATTAATTAATTCTTTGGGTTGTTGTGAAGATTCAACTTTTAGGTAAATATAAATAATTAAGCACAGTGCCTGGCACATAAGAGCAAATCAAAAGCAGCTATTAGTATTAACTATTATAGCAAAAGTATTTCCAAACACTCTCTGCCATTGCTCCTATTCTTTGCATGAATGACTCATTCACTCATTAATTCATTCAGCAAATATCTGTTGAACACCATAGGTCATCTCCTCCCAAAGCCTTTTTCTAATTACTCAGTCTAGGCCACACCTCCTCATCCAACACCACCACACTGTCACTCCTTCATATCACTATGCTTCATTTGATCCAAAAATGCTTATCACCACCTACAACTATCTTGTTCATTTATTTGTTTACTCACTTATTTTCTGCTACCACCCATGCACCCCACCCCCACCCTACAGAACATACATTCCATAAAGGCGGAAATCATGTCTTCTCATTTACCACTTCTCATTCCCTGCACTCACATAAATTGATTCAACTTTAATAGCAAAATACCATACAAAAACTAATTGAACAATTCACTCGTTTTTCTTTGTCAGTTATTTTGATGTGTGGAATTTATGGGAGAAAAAAAGCTAAAAGAATTGAGGTCATTTAATTTACAGAAGAGAAATAAACTTTTTAAACGGCCTTTAATAGTCTGGAAGCCTGGGTTCTAGTACTGTGAGACCCTGTGCAGGTCCTCTCAAACCGTGTTCTTCTCTATAAAATGGGAAGGATGATATCCACTAGGACAAATGCATTCATAGGGCTGACATAATGGCAAAGCACAAATATAGCTAGCATTTGTGTAAGACCCTATTCTTTAAAACACACTTTGACACTCATTTATCCAAATGAGTCTTACAAAAGTGACTCTCTGAAGTACAGAAGAAAAAGAGTTATTTTATTTTTCTGTTTTACAGAAGAAGACACTGATTGTAGAGAGTTCTGACATCCCTAAGAAGCAAGGAAGAGAAAGAAAGAGGGCAGGAGAAAGAGAAGGGTAAACCAGCATATGTGAAAGATGTTATTGTTCATCACACTCTTTGACCTCATCTCCCATGATCCTCTAGGACACTCTCATTCCCGTTTTATAGATGAGAAAACCAAAGTTCAGACAATTTAAGGTAATGACTGACCCACAGGTAGACTACTGGTATGTGAAGATAACAGGGTATGACATCAGTTCCTCCAACTTCCAATCCCATACTGTTTTTACAATGTGGCTTCCAAGAAATGATCAAGGGCAAGATATCTAAAAAAAGATAAACATGCTATGAAAATAAAACTAAAAATCACTTAATCATTTTTAAACAAAGAAAGTCATCAACTCTTTCTTTTTTTTTTTCCATTTTTAGCTGAGCTCCAGAGGAAAATCACATGGAATAACATGAGGATTGGCTATGAGGAATAATTTAATAACAAGTAGTGTTTTAGCCACTGATGACGTTATAAAAGACACCTTTGAAAAACAGTTTTAAGATGTGATTAAACCCTGACATCAAACCATTCATCATTCCAACAGGATTTAAATGAGGGTCTGTATGATGACAGAGGTATAGGTATTAATTGAGGATTCCTAGTGTAACAATTAAAGAAAGAGGAAAGAAACATGAAAAGCGGCTGGACAGTCAAGACAGATTCATTTTACAGAAAACAAACCTGAGAGGTGCCTTCTGACCAAGTTAGGTCAGAGCCACACTCTCTTACAGACTGAGTTTTTAAGGATTCAGGGTGGGAGAGTTTATCAGAGGCTTAGACTGCTTCTGTGTCTCTTTGTTGTGCTTATCTGGGAGGGAGAGTTGTGTGTCTGTTCCCACACATCTTTCTGCAGCTGCAGTCATACCCCCCAAGTCTGCTTTTAGCTTACCCATCTCAGTGCCCCTGAAGGGAAAGGAATGTGCTTATTAAGGCCCACTGTTTTACTGGGGCTCATTGTATGAGGGTGAAATTTGGTAGTTACCCAAGAGACTTTCCCCCCACCTCCCTCTGTGCCCAAGCTGTCTTATCTGTGTTTTCCTGTCTGCTCTTTCTGGCTGCTCTTTCCGTAGTTAGAAGAGGTTTCCTTGAAATGCATGAGGCTAGAATGGGAGGTGGAATTTAAAGTGGCGGTGTTTGTCCGAGATGACGGCGCTCCTGCTCTATCACCTAGTTTATGTGATCCTTGATCTTTATAAAATGGAACTATCTTTTTAAATTATAAAAGATGTTTTTATACGTTTTTTAATTCAGAAGTGAATAACGTAAAAAACATCCCACAAACTCCTCTCATAAACCTTTCCCCAGAGATAATCATCATTAACAACTTGATATAGAGCCTTCTACACTATTTGTGTATGCATACATAACTAAATATTATATTATTCTCTACATATGATTATGTGATTATTCTCTACATACTGTTCTCTAACCATTTTTTCTACTCTATATGATAGACAAGATTCCAGGTCAATAATATATAAGTAAGTCACCCTTTTACTTTTCAATGACTACACAGTGAAAATATCATAATTATTTTTATTCTGTGTTTAAGAATTTAATGCAACAGCATTTTCAGAAGAAAGATATATTGCTTTAAAAATATCTTTTTATTCTCCTGTCCAGTTTTAACTGCCCACACAGTTTTCATTATTTCTGCTATAAAGGTGTGAAAACAGTTATTTCTTTCTTTCTCAGAAGCTCTGGTCACTTGGTCCAGTAATTCTGTGTATGTAAAAAAAACCATTGACATAAAATAAGTATTCATTTCTAGAACAAAAAACCTCCAAGTAAAGGTTATGGTATCTTTCATTTCCATAGAACTTGTGAAAAATAAAACCTTTATTGCACGATATTCAAAATAAATATCCCACAGCCAGAGAAGTGACCACAATCTCATATCATGGCAGTGCTGAGAGTTCTTATAAACTAGGTAGAAGAATTTGGATTTTATCCTGAAGGCAAGGGGACTGGGTTGGGCATGGATGCACTTCTTAACTGGGGGATACATAAATGACATAGGAAAATCTCACTGGCTAGAGAGAATGGTTTAGAAAGGGGAAAATACAGGATAAGGAAAACCAGTTGCTCATGAGGGAAAAGTCCTTTAGGTGTTCACCATTGTTAAGGCAAAATGATTCTGGGCCTTAATATAATCACTGCTGATAGAAGCACAACTACAAACTCTGACCCTTTCTTCTAAAATGTTACTTACTCTCAGTAAATTGACAAAGAAACCAACCTCCACTTCCAAGATGGCTTAATTACATGGCTGTTGGCTGGAGGCCTCAAGCCCTCACTTTATGGACCTCTCTCTCCACAGGACTGCTTAAGTGCCCTCATGGCATGGAACCTGGCTTCCCTCAGAGCAAGCAATCTGGGAGAGAGGACAAAGAGGAAGCCACTTGCCTCATAACCTAGTGTCAGAAGCCACACATTGTCACTTCCACCATATTATTTTCATTAGAAGTAAGTCATTTAGTCCATCTCACAGTCAAGGGGAGAGGAATTAAGTGCTATCTCTTGAAGAGAAGAGTGTTAAAGAATTGGTGGACATTTTGTAAAATCACCACAGGGGTCTAGCTGCAAACCCAGATTGATGCACTTAAGAGCCAGAGCCTGAGGAACCATAGGACATAATCCCCTAGGAATTCACAAAAACGAACAGGAATTTTTCAGACTTCCATAGGCCATAGAATTGGGAGGATTCCATTTAATTTATCCAGACACCTAAGAGGCAGGGAGACCAGATGATATTTTAGTTATACTACTCCATATGTTATGAAACATGCCAAAAGGGCATGAGATCTACAATTTGCAAAAACAGTCACAATTTTGGAAAAAATCTTTCCTGTTATTTCCCATAAATTATAAGAACACTCCAAGTTTTTCAGTATCTCCATGTACCCCAAGTTTTCATTCCTACCAAGAAAATCTAGCACCTAAAATAATATTCAGGGAATGTATTCAGCTCTTTCTGGGCAGGATGAAACACGCTTAAGTGGAAGAGATGAACCTTCAAATGAACCTTTAAGCCCCCAGATAAACTTTTCCGTTCAAGCATTTGTGAAAGGCAGGCTTGGCCCACGTATAGTTGTTAGCCTGAAATTAGACTGAGAAATTGGATCATTCAACCAGTTTCTTGAACCAGTTGGACAATGTAGAGAAGAAGCAGGAATCACTCTTACTTTTTATCCCACTGCCTCCCCCACTTAAAACCTCTATATTAATTCACTTACCCTTTGTATTAGTCCATTTTTATACTGCTATAAAGATATTACCCGAGACTGGGTAATTTATTAAAAAAAAAAAGGGAAGTTTAATTGACTCACAGTTTCACATGGCTGGGGAGGCCTCAGGAAACTTACAATCATGGTGGAAGGAATACTCATAAAACCATTAGATCTCCTGAGAACTCACTCACTATCATGAGACTAGCATGGAGGAAACTGCCTCCATGATCCAGTCACCTCCTTCCCTCCACATGTGCGGATTAAAAGTCCCTCCCTCAACACATGGGAAATACAATTCAAGATTAGATTTGGGTGGGGCCAGAGAGCCAAACCACATCACCCTTCCCTGGATGAAATCTTACACGGATCTCATAGGTTTTCTAATCACTCTCAGATAATAAAATATGTTAATCTACTCCAACATGAACATATTTTTCCATTTTAACATCTCATCTCATCTCTGAAATCCAAATCTCAGTGGCATCTTATAATCATAATTGGAAGGAGATTTTTTCCCCTTTCTTAGTGGTATATAAAAATAATGAAGTATCTTAGAATCAATAGCATCGAAGACTCGATGAAATTTAGTAATGTCTTTTTCTAAGTATTAGAAATTCTAATCAAGTATAGTAATTAAAACTCTATTCTCATCAACTTTAAAACTTCTCTCTTCTCTGAGCTCTGACCTACTTCAGGCTTGGAAGCCTATAATGAGAAAAGATGGGGGTAATCATATTAATCTCTAGCTCTTATTCCACCTTCTCCTTCACTCCCTGGCAGATACTTTGGGGCCCCTCAGGGACTGGAGTGAGATGGGTGGGAAGAGGCATGGGTAAGCAAAGGTAATATTTCACCATACGGTTATAGTCTAGTGTAGGTATTCTCTCTGCAAAGGATATTCCAAATGTCAGTTGTTTCTTTCCTGGAGTGGTTTTGTGGCTTTTTCACAGATGACCTCCATCACTAGGAACACTTCCTACACTTCCTACACTTGTCTACACTTCCTTTCACATACACTATGCCTCCTCCATGGAGATGGCCACTTACACATTCCCTTTATCCACTGGTTTCTTGTGGCCCAACCATTACAGGGCTCAGTCCTCTTTAGTGGAATCTCATTCAAGAGAACTCAATATGACTTCCTCCTGTGGGGTCTCATAAGCTCAAGGGAAATTCAAGCTTCCTTGTCAGGCCAGATGCTAGAAATCATGATGGATTCGAACTTCCCTGACTCTGCCCCAAGTCAGCAGAGCTCAGGCCTCCAACTCTCACCTTTAGACTTTGCAGCTTTGAGTCAGATACTAGTCCCTGCACCCCTCCAACTCCAGGGAACACATAACAAATTCTCCATATGGTTCTCTGGAAGCATCTTCATTGACTCTGAGAATCCTACTTATTAATTGCTTCTTGGAATGATCAGTTTTGGCAACCTCATCTGTTTCAGGTTTTACCATAAAACTGTCAGATAAATATATTCACACATAAAATACTTTATAAAATGCTTTATTTATTAAATCAATTCATTCTCTACTTTTTCCCAAAAATGCTGAGAAATTGCTCACAATAAAAAAAAATAACAGTAAGGTAAGATATAATGATAATCTATTTATGCCAGGTCCTTTAAGTTATATACTATTGATATATTGAGAAGGACAAAATATTGCTAATGTACTATACTAGCCAAGAATGCAAAATCTAAATCTAATCATGAAGAAAAAGCAGTCAAACCCAAATTCAAACACAATGTACACAACAACTAGCTTATATTCTTCAAATGTGTCAATGTCGTGAATGACAAAGGCTGAGGAACCATTACAGATTAAAGAAAATGAAAGAAACATCAACTAAATACAGTGCATGATCCTGGAATGGATTCTGGCTTTGGAAAAAAAAAGTTTTTCTATTAAGACAATTGGAAAATTGAAATATTAACTCTATATCAGATAATAGTGGCAAATCTATGTTAAATTTTCTGAATGCAATAATCATACTGTGGTCATGTAAAGAAGGTCTTTTGTTCTCATGAAATACTAAAGTATTTAAAGTATTTAGCCACAAAGGGACATGATATACTAATATAAAACCCTCAAATGGTTCAGAAAATAATAGGTACATACACACACACACACGTGAGTCTGGATCTGGAAAGGGAGTGCAGAATATGACAAAATAGTAACACTTGGTTAATCTGAGCAAAATATTTATGAGAGTTCTTGCAATTCTTCTGTAAGGTTGAATTATTTCAAAATAAAAGTTTAAAAATTATCTCGTGTTTTTTACAACCCTCAAAATTATGCATGATTAGGCTCATAATATAGAAAAGGAAAGGTCCCTGATTACTAGTAAGGTGGAGCACCTGGTCAGTGTTATTGGACTTTGAATAATCTCTTTAGTTAAATGCCTTGTTCAAGTCTCTTGCACATTTTGAATTGGGTTGTCTGTCTTTTTCTTATTTTTTATACAAATTCTTTATTCTAAATACAATCCCTTTGTCAGCAATATGTGTTGCAAATATCTTCTACTCTGTGATTAGCCTTTAAGTCTTATAATGGTATCTTTTGATAAACAGAAGTTTTCAATTTGACTGCAGTCAACTTTATTCTCTTCCTTCTCTCTTCCTCCATCCCACTCCTCTCTCTCTTTCTCTCTCTCTCTCTCTCTGTGTGTGTGTGTGTGTGTGTGTGTGTCTGTGTGTGTGTGTGTGTTTTATTGAGACCTTTTCCCCTGTGTCAAGGTCTTGAAGACATTTTTCTATTTTGTCTTCTAGAATATTTATTCTTTTGTCTTTCACATGTAGATCTATAATCTACCTGGAATTGTTGTTTGTGTATGGTGGGAGATAATAATTTTTATTTTTCCATATGGAGACACAGCACTACTTCTTAAAAAAAATCCTATTTTTTGTTTCTGAATGTGTTATAAAATGCATTGATTTTTATATTGACCTATGTTAGTTAACTGTTGCTGCTAAAACTACTCCAAAACTAAGTGACTTAAAACAACAATAATAATTTTTTTATTTCAAGATGTCTGTTGGTGAGTTACTCAGACAAGACATGATGAGGGCAGCTCATCCCTGTTCCATGTTATCTGGGGGCTCAGCTGGAAGAATCAAAGGCTAGGAAGGAATTATCTGAAGGCTAGCCCATTCATATGTCTAGTTATTCATGCTGCCTAGCATCTTGGAGCCTAGCTGGGACTGTGGACTAACATATGGCGTCCTCATAAGACCTGGATCTCAAAAGCAAGTATCCTGAGAGAGAGCTAAGAAGCTGTATTGATGTTTATAAAATAGCCTCAAAAGTCACACAGCATCCTTCCACTGCATTCCAGTGACTGAGGCAATTGCCAAGGTCCACTTAGGTTCAAGAAGAAGGACCATAGACTCCATCACTCAATGGAGAGATATCAATGTCACATGCTAGAAGATCTTATGGGGTGGGGCATATATAGGTGTGAATTAAATTCTTTTATTCATTCTAATAATTTATCTATAGATTATTTTAGATGTTCTACATCTGAATGTTCATAACCTTTATAAAGAATGACCATTTATTTTCTCTTTTTAATCCTCATGCCCTTCATTTGCATTTTTTGTCTTATTACACTGGCTAGGACCTGTAAAATTTTGAACAGTAACGGCGATGCAGTCATCCTTATTTTATTGTTGATCTCAAAGGGAAACTGTAACATTTCACTATTAAGAATGATCTTTGCTATTTTTTTAACTATGTACTTTTTAAAAAAGTAAGAAATATCCTTTCATAGTTTACTGAGTTTTTTTTTAAGATCATGGATAGATACTGAATTTTATCAGAGATTTTTCTTGAACTATTGAGACAATTATATAATTTTTCTTTTTTAGTTGATTGATTTGAAAACCAATCAACTTGTATTTCCAAAATAAACATAACTTGATGGGGATATAGTATCCCTTTTATATATTGCTGAATTTTGCCTGCTGATTTTTTTAGGACCTATTGCACTTATAGGAGATGATTAGCTTGTGATTTTTTTTCCTTTCTTTAATGTCCTTATTAGACTTTGCTATTAATGTTATGCTAGCCTTATCAAATGAGTTGAGATTGTTCCCTTTCCTATTCTCTCAAATAGTTTATGTAAACCTGGCATTATTTCTTACTTAAACATTTAACAGGACTCACCAGTGAAGCCATTTGGACCTGAAATTTTTTAATGAAAATATTTTTAATGATGGACTCAATTTCCTAGTGGTTACAGAATTATTCAGGTTTTCCATTTATTTTAGCATAAAATCTGGTATTTGTATTTTGTTAATAATGTATCCTTTTCACATACATTTTTAATGTATTGATAAAAAATAAGTTGTTCATAATGTTCATATGAGATTTTAATGACTGTCAGTTCTGTACTAATGTCACCTTTTTCCTTCCAATATTGAAATTTGTGTTATCCCTCTTTTTGTCTTTATCAGTCTCACCAAAATTTATTAATCATAAAAACATCTTTTGACTTTGTTGCTCCTTTCTTTTGCTGTTTCACTAGTTTCTGTTTCTTTATTGTTTTCTTCTTTCTACTTTCTTTAGCTTAAATTTGTTGTTGTTCCTCTAAATTCTTGAGATAGATGACAAGTTTATTTACTTTGAGACTGTCTTCTTTTCTACTGTATGTACTTAAGGGCAAAAAATGTCCTCCAAACACTGCTTTAGCAGGGTACCACATGTTTTGATATGTAGTATTTTCTTTATCATTTAATTCAAAACATTTGTTAATTTCCATTGTGATTTTTAAATATTTGACCCAGGGGTATTCAGAAATATATTTCTTAATTTACAACATACAGGGATTTTTCAACTTAACATTTTGTAATTGATTTTTTGCTTTAATTGCACTGTCATTATAGAACACCTTATTATTTTAATCTTTAAGTCTTGCTTCAGGACCCAAAATATAGTCAATTCTTAAAAGTGTAGGCTCGTAAAGAACGTATAGTGTTATATAGCTGTCCTTTAGATATATTTTCTTAATACAGTTTTCAAATTTTCTATAATTTTATTGTACTTTTTCTTTTTTTTTTTCTTTGTCTGTTATTGTAGCAGTCACTGAGAAATATATGTTAAAAACCTCCAGTGAAGACTGTGGATTTCTCTATTCTCCTTGCAGTTTTGTTAATTCTGTCTGATATTTTAATACTTACGTTAATAGGTGCATACAAATTTAAAATTATTTCTTCATGGTAAGTTGAAACTTATTGAGCCTGCCTCTTTTTATCACTAATAATGTTTTGACTTAAAGTTCACTTTTGCTAATATAGCTGCATCAGGTTTCTTTTGGTTGTTTACATGGTAGATATTTACCATCATGTAATTTTAATCTTTTCACAGCCTCACTTTTTATATTTTATTCTTATATTTTATATTATCTCATGTAAACATCATATGTTTAAGTTTTTAAACCAAACTAATAATCTCTGTATATTAAAGCATTTAGTCCATTTACTTTTAATGTTGTTAGTGATCAGATTGGGTCTTAATATTTGTTATCTCATTGTCATTCCTCTTCTGTGTTCTTTTATTGCTCCTTTTTTGCCATCATTTGGATTGACCATTTTTTATTATTTGCCTTTCTTTCCTGTGTATCCATCAAAGTCCAATCAGGAAACAGAAATCATACAGCCATTTGAATTGGCAAAGTTTAATATAAAGATATATTAACTATAACAGAAGATTGAAGTAATATGGGATTTGCTAATAAGTTAAGAGAATGCTAAATTATACAGGAGTCAGATATAGATACAAGATAAAATGCAGTACCAATAAAAGGGAGGAGCCACTACCCTAGGGCTGTGAGAGTAAACAATAAAGGAATAAATCTGAAGGACCCCTCTCCTTCACCAGGCTGAGATTCAAACCTCATTGGAGAGGGCATGACCACAGCCCACTAGACAGTGGAGATGACCTGAGGTCTCACTGGTGGAACTGGGAAGCCACCCTCTAGGGTGTAGATGAAGCATTTCTTTGTGTGGAAAACCACACACTGGGGTCGTAGGGTAAGGTGTCCATGAGGAAGTTCTGTGGGATACAAGAGTCAACCAGGTAGAGCATACCAGAACCAGGAAGAGCCCCTTCCTCCTCCAGCATCTCTCCCACACCCTCTACTGATGAAGCTTACCATCATGCCAACTGGCAAGAGAGAAATGATCAGTACCTCAAGCAGGGCAATAAAATGCGGATTTGGAGACGAGGAGCAACAAATCGGTAATGGACACATCCTCTGATAGCTTTTCACTATTTTACTTCTTTTTGGTGGTTACTTTAGAAATTATAATAGGCATCCTTGAATTAGCAATGTCTAATATTTCTTGTTGCTTTTAACCTCTTCTGGCATGGAGCAAGGACCTTAAAACAGTTTAATTCCATTTACTTGATTCTGGTTTATATGCTACTTTTGTGACGTGTATTAATTATCTGCTAAGTATACATTTGTGCATATCCATGATGATTTTCTTAAGATAAGTCTTAGAAGAAAAGTTGTAAATTCTAAGGTTTTTCCTGTATAGTACCATCCCTGTCTTCAGAAATATACAGATTTACAACCCACTAGCAACTGCGGGAGCCTCTATTTATCACCTTGACATAACTTGTTAAAATTTTCTAAATTTCTCATTGCATTGGTGAAAATTATCTATCAGCATTTCAATTTTCATTTCATCAGTTGCTTGAGACATTATGAATTTTTACTCATACAACTGCCTTTCTGTGTTCCCTTTTGTTGTATTTGTGTTTGAGTGAATTTCCTGTCCTCTCCTCTTTTTTTAATTTCTTGTCTCTCTCTTTTTATTGATCAATGTGGGGCTTAAGATCAGTAATGGAATAACATCCTCCTTTTTCCTCTCTGAAATCCTAAACCAAGAGAGAAAATAGACAAAGACTCAAAATATAGAAATCAAATTATCAGCTTTCTTACTAATGAAGATAATGTTGAGGAAGCCAAATAGATTTCCTAAAAGTTCACTTCTGAATTAATCAGACTTACCACCAGTCCCTCTCCCCCAGGCTCAGGCATAAACTGTGGGCCTCTTAATTCAGAAGACAGTTAAGTCTGTCATATGGAGAAGAAGAGACCAGAGTACCCCAGCTGTGGGGGCTTATCTAAAATGGAAAAGAACCCAGAAGAGGCTAAAACACACATGCTCACAGGGCCCCCAACCAGCACAAATGGCAAGTTTGTAGAAAGAAGTACCTGCTACACGTGGATCCAGGCCCTGAGGCTTGGAGACACCAACATCTTTGTTGGAATCAACCCTTTCCTCCAGATAAATACTAGCTCTTTTCCAGGACACAAGGCCTGCAGATTCAGCTGAGTTTCAGCCCCACTTACAGGGACAGATGCACAGCCCTGAGCAAGTGGCAGCCCTGCATCACAATTCTTTCTCTCAATCTCCCCAAAGGTTTCAGAATGTACTAGTGGATATTCCCTTCACTTTTCTACTAAATAGTTGAAAATTCTACCTTAGTAACCAATGTCAGGATTCGGGGAGGAGGAGAAAAGGGTCCCCCCTACATAAAAGATCTTGATACATTAAGGATATCAAGTCATTGCCCATTATACAGTTTATTTTTTTCTTCTGATTTATCATTTGCCATCCAGTTTTTATGTGATGTTTTATATGGATATATTAGATACTTAGCATTTTAATAGAAAGTTTAAAGATAATACAGAATTCATTAGGAACATAAATAAAACCTAACATTCTCAATTGAATAAGGCAATTCAGTTTTGTTTTAAACTATATGCATGCTGTGTCTACTTCGCTTGAGAACTCTTTTGGAATATCGGATTTACAAATACCTTTAATTTTGCCACATCCTAAGCAGTAATATATTTAATTATAATAGTATATTTTATCATCTCTCATATGTTAGTGATGCTGCATAGCTCTGTTCTCCAAAAAAGTACAAGACACTTTATTTACAAGAAATTCTCCCAATGCTTTAGATTTTCTCTCGGTTTTTCTTCTTTTTTGAGAGGAGCATACTCCTTTCGATAACCTCTCTGAGGATCCAAGATATTTTTATAGACTATCGATAGTTCTCTTAATGACTTGTCAATTTTCATTACTCATGGAAAGTGTATCTTCTCTCTTCGTATATTACACACACTTTTATAAAATGGCCAAGCTCATTCCTTATTTGGAACTGTCTAGTCACTTAGTTTTAGGTATACTTATTGTATGTAAATAGTAATATTTGAATTTTGTGTTTAGAGCCCAGCCTAGGGATACTTGTCTTATAATAGGGACATTTTGAATATGTCAGATGTGACTACTATCATTTTATTATATGCTTTCTATTTTTTTACTTCTTGTCTTTTCCCTTATGTATAATCATATATTTTGCTGCATTGACTTTTATTAGGTTTTTCTTCTTTTCTAGTGATTTATTAGTCATACATTCTACATATCCTACTGTCATCTTTACATAATAAAAATTATAATAAATACACTTAAACCCACATTTCTAAATCAAAATCTATATGATTTCCATCTGTGAAATATGGCGACCTCCCTTTTGCCCGTCTCACAAACCTCTAATTGAATTTTCTGATCCCAGTGATTATTCTATTTCTTCTTACATTATGTATCTTGTCTTCTAAGAACAATTGTATACATTTTGTTGTTTTATAATCACGGTAAAAATTCTACAATTTACTACTTATGATTTCTATTTTACACCATTCTTCCCATTCTTGAGCTCTTAATTTTGATTCATTTCTCAGCCTACGAAACCATGAGAATACTTGCTAGCCCTCAAGCAGGCTACATATGCTATGGCCTCTGCTCACACTATTCTATCAGACTTCAGTGCCCTCCATTTGATGATGTCCAACTTCCTTCTCTGTGTTTCCATAGCACATCCATTTTGCATACTTCTATTATCTAACATGTTTCATTCTGTGCATGCATCACTGGAATTTGAGCTCCTTAAGAGCAATTACTTTCTCTGTAATCTCTATTTTCTTTCTAGTATGTGGCACAGGACCTGGAAGGCAAAAGACAGAGATGCAGCCACTGTTGAAAAAAGAAAATATTTCAGCTAAATTACTGAATATTTGATAATTGGGAAACTCCAGTATTTCTTTGCATCATGATGTAATGCTGAACTTGTAGAGAGAGACACAGAGGAAAGAGTGCTGAATGGCATCAGAGCTGGAGATACCAACCCCCTCAAAGAGCCATTCATCTGATAGTCAAAGCCACACTCTCCCAAGTGAAGTACAATGGGTATAATGTTTGGCCATAGCACCGAACATTAGCTATGGCCACAGTTAAATGGTAGGAGAAGTGGGGCAAGGGCAGCAGGGTGAGGCAACACAGTGGAAACTCAAAGGAGAGAGAGGTCAAGGTGGTGGAAGATTTCAACAGTATCTAATAACAAAGAAAGATGAGGAAGGATGAGAGATGAAAACAGAAAACAAGGTCATTAGAGATTAATAATTTTGTTTTCCATTTTTTACGTGTGACCTAAGTCTTCTCTGTGCTCTTCATCTGTGATTTGAAATTACAAACATTTAAATAAATAAAAAATTCTGGCCAGCCTGAGTACTTGCTGAGTTGGGTCAATTAAGATATAAAATTCACTACAGTCACATGCATAGAATGGATGGTAAGAGGATTTTAAAAATCAGTCTGCTATTTCAATACCTCCCTATTTCAATCCCCATAAAAGCTGTTTAAATAAATCAGACGTTCCATTTATTTCCTTATAGGATAAAAGTCTGATCATCTTTAAGGGTAAAGTCTAGACATCAAAGAAAAAAGAATATCAGATAAAAAAATCACAGGGGAGTTCTTTGTCTATTTATGTTAACCACAGCCTGCTACTTCAATAAAAGACTACTGAAGATTTAGAAAACCCATGAAATCATACTGCAACCATATGTGGAGGCAAAAAAAATGTACCATTCAAGTATACCCTAAATTGTAAGGACACGTGATTAAAGGGAGGCTACTGTGGGTGAGAAAACGGAATCTTTGGCAATTTTCTAAGAGCAGGAAAGATACTTCTGACTTTATGGAATAATCAAATTTAAACTTAGAGTTTGATCACTGAATTGCTTATCAAGATTGTGTCAGATTGTTTATTTTGTTGCTGTTGAGTTGTTTGAATTCCTTAAATATTTTGGATATTAGCCCCTTAACAGATACATAGTTTGCAAATATTTTCTTCCAATCTATAGGTTGCCTTTTCATTTTGTTGATTTTTTCCTTTGCTGTGCAGAAGCTTTGTAGTTTGATGTAGTCCCATTTGCTTATTTTTGCTTTTGCTGCCTGAGCTTTTGATTTCATATCAAAAGACTCATTGTCAAGGCCAATGTCAAGCTTTTCTCTTGTTTTTTCCAGTAGTTTCATGGTTTTAGGTCCTGCATTTAAGACTTTAATCCATTTTGAGTTTATTGTATCTGATGTAGGACAAAAGTCCAATTTCATTCTTTTGCATGTCAATATCCAGTTTACTCAACATGTGGATATCCAGTTTACTCAACACTGCTTATTCAAAAGACTACCCTTCCTCATTGTGTATGCTTAGCAACCTTGTCAAAAATAAGTTGACCATATATGCTTGAGATAAGTATATTAATTAGTTTAACTCTAATAATCATCTGACTGTAGATATATATGTCAAAACATCGTTTTTACCTTAAATATATGTAACTTGTATTTAAATAAATTAATTTATAATAAAGGAATAAACTTGGTTAGATGGGATGAAAAGATTGTATCAATTTTTTCTAAAATGCTTTGTACTCAGAAGTTCCTCAATAACACAGAATATACAGAGATATTTCAGAACAAAGACTTTTTCCAAGTAAAAAAACTTTAGATCTAGAAGAAAACTTGTGAAGTAACTTCCTGCCAAACCACACCATGATTAGTTTATGTGTTAAAATAAACATCTATCAAGGATTTATTATATTTCAATGTGGTATGCATCAATGTTTCTCAAACCATCTGTGGTGAAAGGCCATTTTCCCCCAATCCATTATATATTTGCAAAATATAATAAAAATAAATTACTAGACAAAAAAATTGTGATGGCTATAGTTTTTTTCATTTTAAAATTTTTATTTATTTCTTAAAATTGACATGTAATCATTGTACTAGACAAAAGAAATTTTTACAAGGTCATATTTCTTAAAATTAACATGTAATTGTTGTACTAGACAAAAGAAATTTTTACAAGATCATGGAGATTTTCTCCCATGTTTTCCTCTAAAAGCTTTGTTTTACCTTTAACCTTTAAGACTATGATCCATCTGGAATAATGAAGATAGCCCAGATTCTTTGCTGCAGCTCTCATTGACAGTCCCATCTCTGTGAATCTGGGATAGTTTTAGTGACTTACATAACCAACAAAACATTGCTTATATGTCATTCTGGGACTTCAGTCATAAAAAAACTTGCAGTTTCTGGGCCTTTTGGAACACTCTCTGGGAGCTTTGAGCTGCCATGTTAGAGGTCAAATAATTTGAGACCACTGTGCTGGAGAAGCCATGTATATGTTCTGGTGAATTGTTCCAACTGAGCCTAGACTTTAGCCATCTCCACCAAGGAGCCAGATACATGACTGTCCCATCCACCAGCTGAATACCACCATCAACACCATGTTAAATATGCTCTGTAAGTATACAATATAAATCCATAGGAAACAGCATGATGATACCTGCATGGTAATCTGTATGGTCATTTGATTACTCAATACGCTTCTTGGCCTTTTGGCTAAGACCAAGTGTGATTACTACACATACCTCTGGTGTTGGTGCTAGGATTAACAACGGAGAGTCAAAGGTGTACCCTTACATGTAACGATGGTCCTTCACCCCACCCAGGGGATGTCTTTAATTATTACATGTGTAATTAAACTGTAGTATTTAAAAGAAAGAAACTAGATTTAAAAAAGGATTTAATTTATAATAGCAACAAAATATAATACTTAAGAAATAATTTGAACAAAACATCCACATGAAGAAACTATAAAACCACAAAACCATACCAAAAAAGCCCTGCAATGAATGGAAAGAAGAATATTATTCCTGGATAGGAAAACCTAATTCTATTTTCAAAGTTCAATTCTGATACTAACTGTAGATTTTGACAAAATTCCAATTAAAGTATCAATAGGATTTTTCCGTTAGAGAGGGCAATTTAAAAAATATTCTGATGTCCATCCCAAGAATAAATAGGCAATTATAGTGTTTTGAAAAGTTATCTCTGAAAAGTAAGAAATGTAAAGGGAAACTAACACCACCATCAGTACGAATTATAAATATTACAATAATTACAAATACTGGTAAATGTCATCAGGATAGAACAAATGGCTGAAAAATACACACCACACAAACTTTATAAAGGAAGGATCACAAATCACTGAGAAAGAAAAATAGCACTTCAACACGTAGTAGCTGGACAATTGGTTGGCTATTTGTAAATATGCACATTTCCAGTCTTCATATTAGGCAAATAAAATTACTACCAAATGTTTAAAGAATCAGCCGGGCATGGTGGCTCATGCCTGTCTGTAATCCCAGCACTTTGGGAGGCCAAGGGGGGTGGATCATGAGGTCAGGAGTTCTAGACTAGCCTGACTAACATGGTGAAACACCATCTCTACTAAAAATACAAAAAGTTAGCCGGACGTGGTGGCAGGTAATGCCTGTAGTAGAGACATATACTATAAAATCTCCTAATGAGGTCTATTTCTCATTTTTAAAACAATAGAAAACTCATTCTCTCCTTCTTCCCTTTCCTTCCTCCCTGAACAATTCACTCCTAAAGCCATTATCAGTTCACTAATGGAGCAAAGCAAGGTAGGCATTCTTAAGGTCAAGGGAATGGGGGAAGAGAATGGAAAATTCACAAAGGAAATTCAAATGATCAACAAAATATACTTTTCAAATTTCAACCTCATCAATATTTAATAATATGCATACTAAAATATTGGAATATATTTCTATATACCAGAAAAACTTTAATGGGAATACCTAGTTCTGGTAAGGGTAAGAAAGCAAGAATTTATATGAAGAGCTGTAAAAACCTTTCAGAAAGCAATTTGGCTATATGTATCAAAAGACTTAAAAATGTTTTGTAATAGAGAAGGTGTCCAAGATGACCGAATAGGAACAGCTCCAGTCTGCAGCTCCCAGCCAGACCAATGCAGAAGGCACGTGATTTCAGCATTTCCAACTGAGATCAGGAGACTCCCTCATGTGCCTACACCACTAGGGTCCTGGGTCTCAAATACAAAACTGGGCAGTTGTTTGGGCAGACACTGAGCTAGCTGCAGGAGTTATTTTGTGCCCCAGTGATGCCTGGAACCCCAGTGAGACAGAACCATTCACTGACCTGGAAAGGCAGCTGAAGCCAGGGGGCCAAGTGTTCTCTCTCAGCAGGTCACAATCCCATGGAGCTCAGCAAGCTAAGAACCACTGGCTTGAAATTCTCACTGCCAGCACAGAAATCTGAAGTCAAGCTAGGACAATCAAGCTTGGTGGGGTGAGGGGTACTCGCCATTACTGAGTTTTAGTAGGTGGTTTTCCCCTGACAGTGCTAAAGGGTCTGGGAGGTTTGGACTGGGCCGAATTCACCACAGTGCAGCAAAGAGACTGTGGCCAGACTGTTTCTCTAGATTCTTCCTCACTGGGCAGGGCATCGCTGAAGGAAAGGCAGCAGCCCCAGTCAGGGGCTTACAGATAAATCTCTCATCTCCCTGGGACAGAGCACCTGGGGGAAGGGGTGGCTGTGGGCACAGCTTCAGCGGATTTAATCTTTTGTACCTGCTGACTCTGAAGAGAGCAGCTGATCCTGACAAGGGTGATTCTCCCAGGACAGTGTACCAGCTCTGCTAAGGGACAGACTGCCTCCTCAAGTGGGTCCCTGACCCCTGTGCCTCCTGACTGGGAGAGAACACCCAACAGGGGTTGACAGACACCTCATACAGGAGAGTTCCATCTGGAATCAAGCTGGCGCCCTTCTGGGATGAAGCTTCCAGAGGAAAGAGCAGGCAGCAATCTTTGCTGTTCTGCAGACTCCACTGGTAATACCCAGGGAAACAGGGTCTGAAGTGGACCTCCAACAAACTGAAGCAGACCTGCAGAAGAGGGGCCTGACTGTTAGAAGAAAAACTAACAAACAGCAAGAACAGCAACACCAACAAAGAAGACCCCCCCACAAAAACCCCATCCAAAGGTCATAAACCTCAAAGATCAAAGGTAGATAAATCCACAAAGATGAGGAAAAACCAGCATGAAAACGCTAAAAATTCCAAAAACCAGAATGCCTCTTCTCCTCCAAATGATCGCAATTCCTCTCCATCAAGGGCACAAAACTGGATGGAGATACCAAAACCTGGCAGAGACACACACACAAAAAGGAAACTTTCAGGCCAATATCCCTGATGAACATGGACACAAAAATCCTCAATAAAATGAAGGCAAACTGAATCCAGCAGTACATCAAAAAGCTTATCCACCACAATCAAGCCAGCTTCATCCTTGGGATGCAAGGCTGGTTCAACACACGCAAATCAATAAACATAATCAATTACATAAACAGGACCAATGACAAAAACCACATGAGAATCTCAATAGATGCAGAAAAGGCCATTGACAAAATTCAACATCCCTTCATGCTAAAAACTATCAATAAACTAGGTATTGATGAAACATATCTCAAAATAATAAGAGCTATTTATGACAAATCCACAGCCAATATCAAACTGAATAGGCAAAAGCTGGAATCATTCCCTTTGAAAACTGGCACAAGGATGCCCTCTCTCACCACTCCTATTCAACATAGTATTGGAAGTTCTGGCCAGGGCAATCAGGCGGGAAAAAGAAATAAAGGGTATTCAAATAGGAAGAAAGGAACTCAAATTGTCTCTGTTTGCAGATGACATGATGGTATATTTAGAAAACCCCATCATCTTAGCCCAAAAACTCCTTAAACTAATAAGCAACTTCAGCAAAGTCTCAGGATATAAAAACAATGTGCAAAAATCACAAGCATTCCTATACACCAATAATAGACAAACAGAGAGCCAGATCATGAGTGAACTCCCATTCACAATTGCTATGAAGAGAATAAAATACACAGGAATACAATTATAAAGGATGTGAAGGACCTCTTCAAGGAGAACTACAAATCAATGCTCAAGGAAATAAGAGAGGACACAAACAAATGGAAAAACATTTCATGCTCATGGATAGGAAGAATCCGTATTGTGAAGATGGTCATGCTGCCCAAAGTAATTTATAGATTCATTGCTATTCCCAATAAGCTACCAGTGACTTTCTTCCCAGAATTAGAAAAAAGCTACTTTAAATTTCGTATGGAACCAAAAAAGAGCCCATATAGCCAAGAAAATCCTAAGCAAAAAGAACAAAGCTGGAGGCATCATGCTACCTGACTTCAAACTATACTACAAGGCTACAGTAACCAAAGCAGCATGGTACTGGTACCAAAACAGATATATAGACCAAAGGAACAGAACAGAGGCTTCAGAAATAACACCACACATCTACAAACATCTGATCTTTGACAAACCTGTCAGAAACAAGCAATGGGAAAGGATTCCCTATTTAATAAATGGTGTTGGGAAAACTGGCTAGCCATATGCAGAAAACTGAAACTAGACCCCTTCTTTATACCTTATACAAAAATTAATTCAATATGGATTAAAGACTTAAATGTAAAACCCAAAACCCTAAAAACCCTAGAAGAAAACCTAGGCAATACCATTCAGGACATAGGCATGGGCAAGGAGTTCATGACTAAAACACCAAAAGCAATAGCAACAAGAGCCAAAATTGACAAATGGGATCTAATTAAACTAAAGAGCTTCTGTACAGCAAAAGAAACTATCATCAGAATGAACAGGCAACCTACAGAATGGGAGAAAATTTTTGCAAGATACCCATATGACAAAGGTCTAATATACAGAATCTACAAAGAACTTAAATTTACAAGAAAAAAAAAACCATCAGAAAGTGGGCAAAGGATATCAACAGACATTTCTCAGGAGAAGAGATTTATGCAGCCAATAGATATAAAAAAGGTTCATCATCACTGGTCATTAGAGAAATGCAAATCAAAACCACAATGACTTACCATCTCATGCCAGTCAGAAAGGCGATTATTAAAAAGTCAGGAAATGAGATGCTGGAGAGGATGTGGAGAAATAGGAATGCTTTTACACTCTTGGTAGGAGTGTAAATTAGTTCAACCATTGTGGAAGACAATGTGGTGATTCCTCAAGGATCTGGAACCAGTAATACCATTTGACCCAACAATCCCATTACTGAGTATATACCCAAAGGATTATAAATCATTCTGCTATAAAGGCCCATGCACACATATGTTTATTGCAGCACTATTTACAATAGCAAAGACTTGGAACCAACCCAAACGCCGATTAATAATAGACTGGATAAAGAAAATGTGGCACATATACACTCGTGGACTACTATGCAGCCATAAAAAAGAATGAGACCATGTCCTTTGCAGGGGTGTGGATGAAGCTGGAAGCCATCATTCTCAGCAAACTAACACAGGAACAGAAAACCAAACATGACATATTCTCACTCATAAGTGGGAGTTGAACAATGAGAACATGGACACACAGAGGGAAGCGTCTAGGTTTTAAGCCCCATGTGCATTAGCTGTAAGGGGGCGGGGGGCAAGGGGAGGGAGAGCATTAGGACAAATAGATAAGGTATGTAGGGCTTAAAACCTAGATGATGGGGGGTGGAGCCAAGATGGCCGAATAGGAACAGCTCCAGTCTACACCTCCCAGCATGAGCAATACAGAAGACGGTGATTTCTGCATTTCCAACTGAGGTACCGGGTTCATCTCACTGGGGAGTGCTTGAGAGTGGGTGCAGGACACTGGGTGCAGCACACTGTGCATGAGCTGAAGCAGGGCGAGGCATTGCCTCACCTGGGAAGCACAAGGGGTCAGGGAATTCCCTTTCCTAGTCAAAGAAAGGGGTGGCAGACGGCACCTGGAAAATCAGGTCACTCCCACCCTAATACTGCACTTTTCCAATGGGCTTATCAAACGGCACACCAGGAGATTAAATCCTGCACCTGGCTCGGAGGGTCCTACACCCACGGAGCCTCGCTCACTGCTAGCACAGCAGCCTGAGATGAAATTGCAAGGCAGCAGCGAGGCTTGGGGAGGGGCGCCCACCATTGCTCAGGCTTGAGTAGGTAAACAAAGCGGCAGGGAAGCTCGAACTTGGTGGAGCCCACCACAGCTCAAGGAGGCCTGCCTGCCTCTATAGACTCCACCTCTGGGGGCAGTGCACAGCCAAACAACAGGCAGCAGAATCCTCTGCAGACTTAAATGTCCCTGTCTGACAGGTGTAAAGAGAGTAGTGGTTCTCCCAGCATGCAGCTTGAGATCTGAGAATGGGCAGGCTGCCTCCTCAAGTGGGTCCCTGACCCCCGAGTAGCCTACCTGGGAGGCACCCCACAGGAGGGGCAGACTGACACCTCACACGGCCGGGTACTCCTCTGAGACAAAACTTCCAGAGGAACGATCAGGCAGCAGCACTTGCAGTTCACCAATATCCACTGTTCTGCAGCCACTGCTGCTGATGCCCAGGCAAACAGGGTCTGGAGTGGACCTTCAGTAAACTCTAAGAGACCTGCAGCTGAGGGTCCTGACTATTAGAAGGAAAACTAACAAACAGAAAGGACATCCACACCAAAAACCCATCTGTACATCACCATCATCAAAGACCAAAGGTAAAAACAGAGCAGAAAAACTGGAAACTCTAAAAAGCAGAGTGCCTCTCCTCCTCCAAAGGAACGCAGCTCCTCACCAGCAGTGGAATAAAACTGGACAGAGAATGACTTTGACGAGTTGAGAGGGGAAGGCTTCAGAAGATCAAACTACTCTGAGCTAAAGGAGGAAGTTCGAACCAATGGCAAAGAAGTTAAAAACTTTGAAAAAAATTAGATGAATGGATAACTAGAATAACCAATGAGGAGAAGTCCTTAAAGGACCTGATGGAGCTGAAAACCATGGCACGAGAACTACATGATGAATGCACAAGCCATAGTAACTGATGTGATCAACTGGAAGAAAGGGTACCAGCGATGGGAGACAAAATGAATGAAATAAAGCATGAAGAGAAGTTTAGAGAAAAAAGAATTAAAAAAAATGAACAAAGCCTGCAAGAAATATGGGACTATGTGAAAAGACCAAATCTACGTCTAATTGGTGTACCTGAAAGTGACAGGGAGAATGCAACCAAGTTGTAAAACACTCTGCAGGATATTGTCCACAAGAACTTCCCCAATCGAGCAAGGCAGGCCAACATTCACATTCAGGAAATACATAGAACGCCACAAAGATACTCCTCGAGAAGAGCAACTCCAAGACACATAATTGTCGGATTCACCAAAGTTGAAATGAAGGAAAACATATTAAGAGCAGCCAGACAGAAAGGTCGGGTTACTCACAAAGGGGAGCCCATCAGACTAACAGCGGATCTCTCGGCAGAAACCCTACAAGCCAGAAGGGGCGGGGGGGCCAATATTCAACATTCTTAAAGAAAAGAATTTTCAACCCAGAATTTCATATCCAGCCGAACCAAACTTCATAAGTGAAGGAGAAATAAAATACTTTACAGACAAGCAAATGCTGAGAGATTTTGTCACCACCAGGCCTGCCCTAAGAGAGCTCCTGAAGGAAGCACTAAACATGGAAAGGAACAACCAGTACCAGCCACTGCAAAAACATGCCAAATTGTAAAGACCATCAAGGCTAGGAAGAAACTGCATCAACTAACAAGCAAAATAACCAGCGAACATCATAATAGCAGGATCAAATTCACACATAAAAATATTAACCTTAAATGTAAATGGACTAAATGCTCCAATTAAAAGGCACAGACTAGCAAATTGAATAAAGAGTCAAGACCCATCAGTGCGCTATATTCAGGAAACACATCTCATGTGCAGAGACACACATAGGCTCAAAATAAAGGGATGGAGGAAGATCTACCAAGCAAATGGAAAACAAAAAAAGACAGGGGTTGCAATCCTAGTCTCTGATAAAACAGACTTGAAACCAACAAAGATCAAAAGAGACAAAGAAGGCCATTACATAATGGTAAAGGGATCAATTCAACAAGAAGAACTAACTATCCTAAATATATATACACCCAATACAGGAGCACCCAGATTCATAAAGCAAGTCCTTAGTGACCTACAAAGAGACTTAGACTCCCACACAATATTAATGGGAGACTTTAACACCCCACTGTCAACATTAGACAGATCAACGCAACAGAAAGTTAACAAGGATATCCAGGAATTGAACTCAGCTCTGCACCAAGCGGACCTAAGAGACATCTACAGAACTCTCCACCCCAAATCAACAGAATATACATTCTTTTCAGCACCACACCACACCTATTCCAAAACTGACCACATACTTGGAAGTAAAGCTCTCCTCAGCAAATGTAAAAGAACAGAAATTATAACAAACTATCTCTCAGACCACAGTGCAATCAAACTAGAACTCAGGATTAAGAATCTCAGTCAAAACCGCTCAACTACATGGAAACTGAACAACCTGCTCCTGAATGACTACTGGGTACATAATGAAATGAAGGCAGAAATAAAGATGTTCTTTGAAACCAACGAGAACAAAGACACAACATACCAGAATCTCTGGGACACATTCAAAGCAGTGTGTAGAGGGAAATTTATAGCACTAAATGGCCCACAAGAGAAAGCAGGAAAGATCTAAAATTGACACCCTAACATCACAATTAAAAGAACTAGAGAAGCAAGAGCAAACACATTCAAAAGCTAGCAGAAGGCAAGAAATAACTAAAATCAGAGCAGAACTGAAGGAAATAGAGACACAAAAAACCCTTCAAAAAATCAATGAATCCAGGAGCTGGTTTTTTGAAAAGATCAACAAAATTGATAGACCGCTAGCAAGACTAATAAAGAAGAAAAGAGAGAAGAATCAAATAGACGCAATAAAAAATGACAAAGGGGATATCACCACCGATCCCACAGAAATACAAACTACCATCAGAGAATACTATAAATGCCTCTACGCAAAGAAACTAGAGAATCTAGAAGAAATGGAAAAATTCCTCGACACATACACCCTCCCAAGACTAAACCAGGAAGAAGTTGAATCTCTGAATAGACCAATAACAGGCTCTGAAATTGAGGCAATAATTAACAGCTTACCAACCAAAAAAAGCCCAGGACCAGATGGATTCACAGCCGAATTCTACCAGAGGTACAAGGAGGAGCTGGTACCATTCCTTCTAAAACTATTCCAATCAATAGAAAAAGAGGGATTCCTCCCTAACTCATATTATGAGGCCAACATCATCCTAATACCAAAGCCTGGCAGTGACACAACAGAAAAAGAGAATTTTAGACCAATATCCTTGATGAACATTGATGCAAAAATCCTCAATAAAATACTGGCAAATGGAATCCAGCAGCACATCAAAAAGCTTATCCACCATGACCAAGTGGGCTTCATCCCTGGGATGCAAGGCTGGTTCAACATATGAAAATCAATAAACATAATCCAGCATATAAACAGAACCAAAGACAAAAACCACATGATTATCTCAATAGATGCAGAAAAGGCCTTTGACAAAATTCAACAACCATTCATGCTAAAAACTCTCAATAAATTAGGTATTGATGGGATGTATCTCAAAATAATAAGAGCTATCCATGACGAACCCACAGCCAATATCATACTGAATGGACAAAAACTGGAACCATTCCCTTTGAAAACTGGCACAAGACAGGGATGCCCTCTCTCACCACTCCTATTCAACATAGTGTTGGAAGTTCTGGCCAGGGCAATCAGGCAGGAGAAGGAAATAAAGGGCATTCAATTAGGAAAAGAGGAAGTCAAATTGTCCCTGTTTGCAGACGACATGATTGTATATCTAGAAAACCCCATTGTCTCAGCCCAAAATCTCCTTAAGCTGATAAGCAACTTCAGCAAAGTCTCAGGATACAAAATCAATGTGCAAAAATCACAAGCATTCTTATACACCAATAACAGACAAACAGAGAGCCAAATCATGAGTGAACTCCCATTCACAATTGCTTCAAAGAGGATAAAATACCTAGGAATCCAACTTACAAGGGATGTGAAGGACCTCTTCAAGGAGAACTACAAACCACTGCTCAATGAAATAAAAGAGGACACAAACAAATGGAAGAACATTCCATACTCATGGGTAGGAAGAATCAGTATCGTGAAAATGGCCATACTGCCCAAGGTAATTTATAGAATCAATGCCATCCCCATCAAGCTACCAATGACTTTCTTCACAGAATTGAAAAAACTACTTTAAAGTTCATATGGAACCAAAAAAGAGCCTGCATTGCCAAGTCAATCCTAAGCCAAAAGAACAAAGCTGGAGGCATCATGCTACCTGACTTCAAACTATACTACAAGGCTATAGTAACCAAAACAGCATAGTACTGGTACCAAAACAGAGATATAGACCAATGGAACAGAACAGAGCCCTCAGAAATAACGCCGCATATCTACAACTATCTGATATTTGACAAACCTGACAAAAACAAGCAATGGGGAAAGGATTCCCTATTTAATAAATGGTGCTGGGAAAACTGGAAAGCTGAAACTGGATCCCTTCCTTACACCTTATACAAAAATTAATTCAAGATGGATTAAAGACTTAAATGTTAGACCTAAAACCATAAAAACCCTAGAAGAAAACCTAGGCAATACCATTCAGGACATAGGCATGGGCAAGGACTTCATGTCTAAAACACCAAAAGCAATGGCAACAAAAGCCAAAATTGACAAATGGGATCTAATTAAACTAAAGAGCTTCTGCACAGCAAAAGAAACTACCATCAGAGTGAACAGGCAACCTACAGAATGGGAGAAAATTTTCGCAACCTACTCATCTGACAAAGGGCTAATATCCAGAATCTACAATGAACTCAAACAAATTTACAAGAAAAAAACAAACAACCCCATCAAAAAGTGGGCAAAGGATATGAACAGACACTTTTCAAAAGAAGACATTTATGCAGCCAAAAAACACATGAAAAAATGCCCATCATCACTGGCCATCAGAGAAATGCAAATCAAAACCACTATGAGATACCATCTCACACCAGTTAGAATGGCGATCATTAAAAAGTCAGGGAACAACAGGTGCTGGAGAGGATGTGGAGAAATAGGAACACTTTCACATTGTTGGTGGGACTGTAAACTAGTTCAACCATTGTGGAAGTCAGTGTGGCGATTCCTCAGGGATCTAGAACTAGAAATACCATTTCACCCAGCAATCCCATTACTGGGTATATACCCAAAGGATTATAAATCATGCTGCTATAAAGACACATGCACATGTATGGTTATTGCGGCACTATTCACAATAGCAAAGACTTGGAACCAACCCAAATGTCCAACAATGATAGACTGGATTAAGAAAATATGGCACATATACACCATGGAATACTATGCAGCCATAAAAAATGATGAGTTCATGTCCTTTGTAGGGACATGGGTGAAGCTGAAAACCATCATTCTCAGCAAACTATTGCAAAGACAAAAAACCAAACACCGCATGTTCTCACTCATAGGTGGGAATTGAACAATAAGAACACATGGACACAGGAAGGGGAACATCACACACTGGGGACTGTTGTGGGGTCGGGGGAGGGGGGAGGGATAGCATTAGGAGATATAGGTAATGCTAAATGACGAGTTAATGGGTGCAGCACACTAACATGGCACATGTATACATATGTAACAAACCTGCACGTTGTGCACATGTACCCTAAAACTTAAAGTATAATAATAATAAAATAAAAAAATACAAAGTTTATCTTCGTAATAAAAAAAAAAGTTTACCCCCCCCCAAAAAAAAAACCCTAGATGATGGGTTGATAGGTGCAGCAAACCACCATGGCACATGTATACCTATGTAACAAACCTGCACATTCTGCACATGCATCCCAGAACTTAAAGTAAAATTTTAAAAAAATAAAAATAAATAAAACTGCTAGACGAAAACGTAGATTTATTTTGCCATGACTTTGGATTTGTCCATTTTTCTCTGTGTTATGACACCAAAAGCCCAAACAACTAAAGAAAAAAAATAGATAAATTGAACCTCAATTTAAATCAAATTAGAAACTTTTGTGCTTCAGAAAAAAAAAATGTTTTGTACCTTAAAAATGTCTTGTGCCCTTTGGCCCAGTAATTCCACCACACGTGGAAAGCCATTTTAAGTAAGGATTATGAAATACTATTGAAAATTGCCTTCTATGTAAATATGTTCACTGCAGCATTTTTGTAACATTAAAATATTGGAAAGCAACACAAGTTCCCAATAACAGGTAAACAATTATAGAAAGTATAGGGTATCTACTAAATAAACTATTATGCATCTTTTTAAAATTATGCCTGAAAGAACAACAAAACTGCTTATGTTGTAATATTAAAGTACAGCTGTCCCTAGGTATCCTTTGGGGATTTGTTCCAGGACCTCCCACTGATACCAGAATTCACACATGCTCAAGTCCTTTATATAAAATGACATTGTATTTGCATATAACGTATGCACATCCTCTCATATACTTTAAATCATGTCTAGATTACCTATACTACCTAATACAATGGAAATTTTATGTAAATACTTGTTATGCTGTATTGTCTAGGGAATGATGACAAGGAAAAATAGCCTGTACATGTTCAGTGCAGATGCAATTTTTTAAAATACTTTTTATCTGCAGTTGGTTGAATCAACAGATGCAAAGCCCATGGTTAAGGAGGGCCAACTACAAAAGGAGAGTGAAAACAGAGAATGTACTGCGGCTATATAAAATACCAAAAAAAAGAAAAGCAATGCAAAATTAGATATAGTTGTCTATTAGAGCAGGGTTTTAGGGGATTTTTTTCACCTCATATACAAGTGGAAAACAAATTTAACAACTGTAACAAACTTCATGTAATATGAGCACCTTCTTCAGTTCAATAGGCAATTATTGAGACCCAATAAATATTAGGCCGTAGGATAGGTTCTGTTATCTGTAAACAGCCTTCTGTGTTGCTACTAAGAAATTTCAAGAAGAAATATGGTTTTTTTTAACCATGAGACATTTGAGTCTCAACCACAAAAAAAGAAAAAAAAAATGCAGGAACATTTTACTGAGATATACCAGACTCAACAATTTAGTTATGCACTTCCTTAAAAATGCCAGTGTCATCACCTGTGGTCTAGACATTTTTCCCAAAATAAGCATAATCAGTGATGCATAAACTCTACCCTTTCTTCGGTCATATTTGTGTAATGTAAACAGATCAGCTCCTGTCCATAGGATTTGTTCAGGCCATAGGGGAGTAACACTGGTACTTTCAAAAATAAAACCACAAATTAAAAACACAAAAAATAAATAAGTCCAATTTGGAGAAAAATAGGGAACTCCTCAAATAGCAACCCACTTTGTTGGCCAGAAATGTTCATAACTGTTCAAAAGCAATTCAACATACTCAAAAATAATGATTACCATTCATGTTAATTAATATTGGTATTAATAATGCTTTCACTAATTTTTATTATTTTTTATATCACATCACAATTTTAATACTAAATATTAATTGACAATATTAATGGTATATTATATATTGTTATATATGTTTTGTTAATAAATTATTAATATTAATACTAAGTTAATATTAATATGGTTGCACATAATTTTTTCATTAGTCTTCACAAAATAATTAATACCTAATTTTATAAGTGATAAAACTGAGGTTCAAAGAGGCTACATAATTTGCAAAATGTCCAGCATCTGGAAAAGGTCAAAGCATTTTCTAACAGAAAAAGCAGATGTTGCCAACTTGCTTAGTCATATCCTGTGCTTCAGCACTCTGCCTCCCTGAAAAACTGAAGCTCCTGAAATACAGTAGAGCACAAAGTAGGTCCTAACTGGATATTAATAATTATAATTATGACTAGCAATGTGGTTCCAAAATTATAAATTTTAAATCTGATATCTAAGCATAGTGAAAGTGCATTGCAAAGGAGAAGAAATATAGATAGAAAAAATGTATTTTAATCTAGTTAAAATGTCAAACTTCAGTATATTCTTACCCCTATTTAGCAAATTTTACTTCTTTACCTTCAGATGCCAATTTAAAATAATATGCTTCTTTCTTCTTTTCTTTTCTTATCTTTTTTTTTTTTTTTTGAGACAGAGTTTCGCTCTTGTTGCCCAGGCTGGAGTGCAATGGCGCGATCTCGGCTCACTGCAACCTCCACCTCCCAGGTTCAAGCAATTCTCCTGCTGCAGCCTCCTGAGTAGCTGGGATTACAGGCGCCCACCACCATGCCAGGCTAATTTTTGTATTTTTAGTGGAGACGGGGTTTCACCATGTTGGCCAGGCTGATCTCGAACTCCTGACCTCAGGTGATCCACCCGCCTTGGCCTCCCAAAGTGCTAGGATTACAGGCATCGGCCACTGCACCCAGCCTTCTTTCCTCTTTTCAAAACCCAGAAAGTAAAAGATGTATAGTCTCAGAATGTTGTGCCTTTCGAATTCGTATTTCAGTACTTCCAGTTTTCTGATCGAGTCTCAGTAACAATTACTGCAAACTTCTGTTTTTAAAAGCAGTATTGTATTTTGGTTTTCTTGGAAAACACCACTGGGAAGGTACATACACACTGTTATCACAATGACGCATCTTCAAGAGGAAGTGAACACATTTAATTAGGACATGAAAGATTTGGAAACCTTAGTAGTCAAAAATAAAACTAGACACTTCAGAAAGGAAATCTAAACTACTTTCCTTTCAAAAGGACTAAATGAAAGTTCATCAAAATAAAGTTAAGAGCCAACACATGAAAAGAGCAAAGTGATTAATGGTGTCCCTTCATCAAAACTTTTGGAATTTAACAAAGATTTTTGTTCTTCAACTCAAAATTGGCATCTCCTTCAGGGGGCAAGTTACTATCACTTTTACTTACTTATCTCTAGGAGCCTTAAGATAAAGAGAAAAAGTTTGCAGTCAGAAGACATGAGTTCTATTTCTTTTCCTGCAACTTGTCCAGCTGTGTAAAATAGAGAAAAGAACAGATTTCTGCCTGATTTACAGAGCTATAATGCCTCTCAGACATGATAACATAGGTGAAACTTCTTTGCAAATAACAAAGCTCAAGATCAGTGGTTCTCAAATGCTTTTGTTCCCAGGACATATTGGCCAATATCTGGAGACATTTTTGGTTGTCATATCTCAGAGTGCAGGTGCTACTTGGCATCTAGTAAGTGGTCCAGGCCAGGGGTGCTGCCAAACATCCTACAATGTACAGGACAGCTTCTTACAACAAAAAAATTACCCAGCCCAAATGCCAATAGTGATAAGGTTAAGAAACCCTGCCTCAGACAAATGTAAGCTACTCCCAGCTTCTCAAGCAATGTCTGGGGCCTAGGGACATCTCCTAGGTATGCCTGAATGACTGTAATCCTGAGCAGACGTTCACTGTCCTCTGATCCAGCTGCTCTCACTCAGCAAGAGTGAGGAAGCAAAGTAGTCCTTCCCTTTCTGTCATGGCCCACAGCCCGAGGAGTGAGTTGCTGCACAAGGGCTGAGGGGAAGACTAACAAACCCTTGTCTGACTCAAACTTACTAACACTCACTTTCCCTAGCTGCCTTCCAGGGAAACCAGCTGGTTGAAAACATACTCTCCAAATGGATTGAACATGTAGCTACTCAGGAGGCTGAGGCAGGAGAATTGCTTGAACCCAGGAGGCGGAGGATGCAGTGAGCTGAGACTGTGCCATTGCACTCCAGCCTGGGTGATAGAGCAAGACTCTGTCTCAAAATAAATAAATTAATTAATTAAATAAAATAAACATCTGTTGGGCCAGGTGCGGTGGCTCATGCCTGTAATCCCAGCACTTTGGGAGGCCAAGGCGGGTGGATCACGAGGTCAGGAGTTCAAGACTTGCCTGACCAATATGGTGAAATCCCATCTCTACTAAAAATACAAAAAATTAACCATGCGTGGTGGCACGCACCTGCAGTCCCAGCTACTCAGGAGGCTGAGGCAGGAGAATCACTTGAACCCGGGAGGCAGTAAGCCAAGATCAGGCCACTGCACTCCAGCCTGGGTGACAGAGCAAGACTCCATCTCAAAAAAATAAATAAATACATAAATAAACATTTGTTGCACATCCACCTGCTTTCCATTGAGGAGGATATAGAAAATATACATCTCCTGTTTAGTAAATAAAATCTCTGCCATCACCATATACAAGTTTAGAATTTAGTAAATGACACAACACAAACAACCAGTAAAGAATCCCAGACAATTCTGTTCATTCAAAATTACATGCGATATCACGCAGTGGCCAGGATAAAGACATGGATCAGAAGAAATGGAAAGGCCTTCAGGACACAAGGGGCAACAAAGGAAGGGTGGCTAGGATAGGTGTAGTTAACTGTATGTTTCAATATGACTTGACACAGGGTACACAGGCATTTTGGCAAGCCTTATTCTGGGTGTGTCTGTGAGGGTGTTTCTGGATGAATTAACACTTGAGTTAGTAATCTGAATAAAGCAAATTGCCCTCCCTAATGTGGACGGGCCCCATCCAATCAGCTGAAGGCCTGAAAAAAAAACATAAAAGCTGACCCTCTTGCAAGTCAGAAGGAATTCCTCCTACCTGCTGCCTTCACGTTGAGACATCGGTTTTTCCTGTTTCCAGACTCTGCTATAGACTGAATGTTGGTATCCCCCAAAACTCATATGCTGAAGCCCTAGCCCATAATGTGATGGTCTTTGGAGGTGGGGCCTTTGAGAGGTTATTAAATGAGATCATGAGGATGGGGCCCCCGTGATGGGAATAGAACACTATTCCCATCATAAGAGGAGATAAGAAGAGGAGAAACCAGAACCCCTCTCCCTCCAACTCCTGAGGACACAGCCAGAAGGCAGCTACCTACAAGCCAAAAAGAGGGCTCTCAGCAGAACTCTACCATTCAGGAACCCTGTTCTCAGACTTTCAGCCACCAGAACAGTGAGAAAAAATTTCTGTTGTCTAAACCACACAGTCTATGGTATTTTGTTATGACAGCATGCGCTGACTAAGATAGACTCAAACTGAAACACAGGCTTTTCCTGTGTCTTAAGTCTGCTGGCCACTGGACTCCAGCTACATCAGCTCTCCTGGTTTTCTGACCTTCAGACTCATATTGGAACTATATCAGCAGGGTTCAGGGTTCTCCAGGGTTTCAGGGTTCTCCAGGGTCTTCAGCTTGCTAACTCACCCACCTTCCAGATCTTGAGACTTGTCAGCCTCCATAATCATGTGAGCAAAATTTCTATTAATTAATTAATTAATTAATCCTACTAGTTCTGTTTCTCTGGTGAACCCTGAGAAATGAATTCTGGTACTAAGATTGGTTCTAAGGAAACAGAATGCTAAGGATTCGTGTTCTTAATTGGTTGTGGGTTTCTAGAATTGGCTCTCTAATCTGATTATATTTAAAGATGCTAGTGTCTATTTTTAGTGGTAAACAGAGGACTGATAGTCCATAGCATAATCTGGCAATAGGGAGACACAAAATATCTGCATTAAATACTCCCAAATAACCACTTATAAGAAGCAAGGATCTAAGTGACTACATATTTCAGGTATCGTTCTCAAATTAAAGAATATAATGACATTCGCCACTTGATCCTGTCAAGGTAAAAGAAAATGATGAGCCTAAGTTCTCTGCTTAAACTGTGCAAATAATGTGAAAGCTTCTATATTTGCCCTAACAGAGTTTCCTTATGTTCTGTAGCCACAGGGTTGAGATTGATTAAAATTAAACATAGAATCTCATCCTGCAACTGGCTGAATTACAACACAAGTTGAACTTTCAGGCCTATAGGCTGTCTACTGTTAAAATGATTAGGAAGTAGTGAAATTCTGAAAGTTGGAATGGGGATGTGTGAGAAGACCCTGATGAAGCTGGGGACACTAGGCCCCTAAACTGATGAGTCTTCTTTGCCGGTGGAAGAGGTATGTCCACCGCAGTATGAGAGAATTATCCTTGCCTTGCCTAGAAAATTGTAATGGTCTCCCTTGAGGCTGCTGCCTTTCAAGAAATGCTGGCTCCCCTCAGGGGACCCACTCCCACCACCTCTTCGCTTCTAGACTTGTAACTAGACTTAAATCCCAGCAGGCCCCTAAAGGTGAAGTACAAAGTGTGACCCAAGAGGAGGTGGTGTGCACTCCAAAAGAACTACTCAAGTTTTCTCATTTACACAAGCAGAAATCAGAGGAACATGTGTAGGAATGGACATTGAGTTTGTGGGATAATGGTGGAGGAAATAAAATTGAATCAGGCCAAATTTATTGATACTAGCTCACTAAGCAGAGATTCTTCATTTAATGTTGCAGCTCAGGGAGTTAAGAAACTCCCTGACTCTAACTGCTTGCTTAGTTCGTTAGATGAAACATGGAACAAACAGTGGCCCACAGAGAGCAAGTTGGAAATGCCAAACCTGCCTTCTTTCAATGTAGAGAAAGAGATTCAAAGGTTTAAGGAGATTGGAATGTTAGAGTGGATATGTTACTTAAGATCTACTCACCCATAATGAGAGGCTCTAGAAGGCACATCTTGACTGTGAGAAATAAATTTGTGAGAGGAGCCCTGGCATCTTTGAAGAGCTCTGTGATCACTCTTCTCCGTAGGGGCCAGACATTACAGTAGAAATAGCCCCCACTGGATTAGGATACCTAAATGCAATGGAGGTAACAGATCCTGGGGTGGCAGTCAACAGCCAAAGGCAAGGGGGATGTGATTACCATAATAAACAGCAGAGTCAAGGCGGCAGTCAGGCCCACCTAAGGCACCAGCTGTTCCTAGAAATGAAATAGATGGGAAACATACTAAATTCGAGTAAATTCTTACTTGATCTATATAAGTAGAAATGTTCTAGGTCAAGTGAACAAAAGTCTAATCTGAATGAGAAAAACACAGGGTGATGTCCCCTCTATCATTTCTAGATTTAAGCCAGTTAACAGATCACAATTCCTTCAATTAAGAAGAGGCAGGTCTTCTTGAGGAAGAACTCTGGTACACTGCTTAAAATATACACTGTTACTATTTCTACCAGCCTTCCCTAAAGTAACCTACAGCATTTAGCCAAGGTTACTATAGATTGGGGTAAAGTAAATAATCAGACCTTTCCAGGACTACTGAACACTGGTTCTGAACTGACAATAATTTTCCAGGAGAACCAAAACGTGACTTTGATCCCTCAGCCACAGTGTGGGCTTATGAAGATAAGGTAATCAATAGTGTTTTAGTTCAGGTCTATCTCACAGTCCTGACCCCATCATGTAGTTATTTTCCCAGTTCTAGAATGCATAATTAAGAGATATACTCAGTAGCTCACCAAATCCCCACATTGGTTGCCTAACCTGTGGAGTGAGGCTACTATGGTGGGAAAGGCCAAGGGCAAGCCACTGAAACTACCTAGGAAAACAGTAAACCAGAAGCAATACTGGATTCCTGAAGGATTGCAGAGATTACTACCACCATTAAAGATTTGAAAGACACAGGGATGGTGATTTCCACCACACTCCCATTCAATTTGCCTATTTTGGCTGTGCAAAAGACAGGTGGATCTCAGAGAATTACAGTGTATTATCTTAAGTTTATGCAGATGGTGACTCCAATTGGAGTTGCTGTACTAGATGTGGTTTCATTGCTTGAGAAAATCATCACATTCTCTGGTACCTGGTATGCAGCTATTGATGAGGCAAATGCCTTTTTCTCTATATCTATTATCTAGGAACACCAGAAGTAGTTTCAAGCAGTTTGAGCCCACAAGGCCAGAAATACACCTTCACTGTCTACCTCAGGGGTATAACAACTCTCTCTGGCCCAGTGTCACAATTTAGTTTGCAGGGATCTTGATTGCTTTTCCCTTCCACAGGATATCACATTCGTCCATTACATTGATGACATTATGCCAATTGGAACTAGTGAGCAAGAAGTAGCAATACTCTAGTCTGTTGGTAAGACATTTGCACATCAGAGGGTGGGAAATAAATCCAGTAAAGATTCAGGGGCTTTTACTTATGAAATTTTTAGGGATACAGTGGTATGAAGCATGTGGGAGACATCGCTTCGAAAAGTAAAGGTCAGTCATGGCATCTAGCTGCTCCTACCACCAAAAAAAAAGGCACAATGCTTATTAGGCCTCTAGAGTCTAGAGGCAACATGTTTCTCATTGAGGTGTGTTACTTCCACCTATTTACCAAGTGACTTAAAAAGCTGCTAGTTTTGAGTGGGGCTCCAAAAAAGGAAAGGCTCTGCAGTAAATCCAGGCTAATGTAAAAGCTAATCTGCTATTGAGCCAGGTGATTAAGCAGATCCAACCATACTTAAAATGACAGTGACAGATAGGAATCCTGTTTGGAGATTTGGCAGGCTCTTATAGGTGTATTGCAGTGCAGGCCCCTAGGATTTTGGAGCAAAACCCTGCAATACTCCACAGATAACTTCTCTTATTGAGAAACAACTCTTGGCCTGCTACTGGCCTTAACAGAGATTGGTTGCTTAATTATGGGCCACCAAGTTACCATGAAATCTAAGATCCCCATCATGAATTGGCTGTTATCTGACCCACCAAGCCATAAAGTTGGGTGTGCAAAGCAGCACTCTATCATCAAAGGGAAGTGGTAAATATGAGGTCAGGCCCAAGCAGGTCCTGAAGGCACAAGTATGTCCACTGCCCCCACTTCTGCTATACTACCCTCTCTCTTCTAGTCTGTACCTATGGCTTCATTGGGCGTTCCCAATGACCAGTTGACAGAGGAAAAGAAAACTGAGCCTTGGTTTACAGACAGGTCTATATAATGTTCAGGCACCACCCAAAAGTGGACAGCTGCAGCACTATAGCCTTTTTCCAGAACACTGCTGAAGGATAGTGGTGAAGGGAAATCCTCCCAGTGGACAGAACTTTGAGCAATGCTCCTGAGTGTTCATTTTGTTTGAATGAAGAAATGGCCAGACTTGTGATTATATATGGATTCATGGGTTGTGGCCAATGGTTTGGCTGACGGTCAGGAACTTGGAAGAAACATGATTAGAAAATTGGTGACAAGGAAATTTAGAGAGGAAGTAGACCTCTCTGAATGGGCCAAATGCATGAAGATATTTGTGTCCCATGTGAATGCTCACCAAATGATCTCAGAGAGGAGGATGTTAATAGTCAGTTGGATAGGATCACTTGTTCTGTGGGTAATAGTCAGTCTCCCTCTCCAGCCACTCCTGTCATTGTCCAATAGGATCATGAAAAAACAGGCCATAGTGGCAGGGATGGAAGTTATGCATGGACTCAACAACATGAACTTCTGCTCACCAAGGCCTAGCTGAAGACAACCACTGCCGACTTCACAATCTGCCAACATCAGAGACCAACCCTGAGTCCCCAGCATGGTACCATTCCCCCACAGGAATCAGACAGCTACCTGGTGGTAGGCTGATTACACTAAATGGCTTCCATCATGGAAGGGACAGCTCTTTGTCCTTACTGAAATAGACATTTACTCTGGAAATGGATCTGCCTTCCCTGAATACAATGCTTCTGCCAAAACTATCATCTGTGGACTTACAGAATGCCTTATCCACTGCCATGGTATTTCAAACAGCATTGTTTCTGATGAAAGAACTCACTTCACAGAAAATGAAGTGTGTCAGTGGGCCCATGCTCATGAAATTCACTGATCTTACCATGTACCCCACCATCTTGAAAGAGCTGGTTTGACAGAATGGTAGAATGACTTTTTGAAGACTCAGTTATAGCACCAGCTAGGTACCAATGCCTTGCAGGGCTAGGGCAAGGTTCTCCAGAACACTGTATATGCTCCAAATCAGTGTCCAATGTACAGTGCTGTTTCTCCCATAGCTAGGGTCCGGGATTCATGGGTCCAGAAATCAAGAATGCAAATGGGAGTGGCACCACTCACTATCACTGTCAGTGACCCACTGGCAAAATTTTTGCTTCCTGTTCCCACAACTTTATGCTCTGCCAGCCCAGAGGTCTTAGTTGCAGGGGGTGGAATGCTACAACGATTCCATTGAATTGGAAGTTAATACTGCTGCCCAGACACTTGAGGATCCTCCTGCCTCTGAAACAGCATGTAAAAAAGGAAGTTACAGTGCTGGCTGGGGTGATTAAACCTGGCTACCAAAAGGAAATCGGACTACTACTCCACGATGGAGGTAAAATCTGGAATACAAGAGATTCCTTCAGGCATTCTTAGTATTACTATGCCCTGTGATTAAGGTCAGCGGAAAACTACAACAACATAATCCACACGGGACTACTAATGACCTAGACCCCTCAGGAATGACAGTTTGGATCATCTCATTAGATAAAGAACCACAATCAGGCAGGGTGCAGTGGCTCACGCTTGTAATCCCAACACTTCAGGAGGATCACTTGAGCCCAAGAGTTTGAGACCAGCGTGGGCAACATAGCGAGACCTCATCTCTACAAAAAAAATTTTTTTAATTAGCTGGGCATGGTGGTGCATGCTTGTAGTTCCACCTAATCAGGAGGCTAAGTTGGGAGGTTCACTTGAGCCCAGGAGCTAGAGGCTGCAGTGAGCTGTGATTATGCCACTGCACTCCAGCCTGGGTAACAGAAGGAGACCCTGTCTCAAAAAAATAAAATAAAATAAACAGCTAAAGGCAAAGGGAATTCTGAATGGGTAGTGAAAGAAGGAGGTAATTACAAATACCAGCTATGACAATGTGATGTTACAGAATTCAGTACTGTAATTGACATATTTCATCCTTATTTTGTTATGAATATGATTGTATGCATAGTAAAATTTGTATATATATGAAATCTTTATTTTCTTCCCTCTCTTATTCTCTTCTCATGCAACATAAGATATAGTAACTTTATATCATAGTATTTAAGTATTGTTAATTTTACAACATAGTAGTTAATTTATGGGATATCAAGGAGAAGAATAAACATCACACAGGAATCTTACCTGCTTTTCCTGGGAAATGGTTAGTGTGCTTTTTGTTGTACATAGGATAGTTGTATCATGTTAGGGCAAAATATGACTTTGTTTATGTCTTTATTTGGACATTAAATATGTTTTAAGGAGATGTAGATAGATGCCAAGTTAATCAGGGGTAGACTTGTGATAGCTTAATGTGTCATCTTGACTAGGCAAAGGTGTGCCTGGATATTTGCTCAAATATTATTCTGGGTGTGTCTGTACAGGTGCTTCTGGATGAGATAAAATATTTGAATTAGTAGACATAGTAAAGGTTGCCCTCCCTTTACTATGATGTGAGTGGGCCCCACTCTAACAGTTGAAGACCTGAATAGAACAAAAAGATTAAATCTCCTGCAAGTAAAAGGGAATTCCTTCTGTCTGACTGTCTTTGAACTGAGACATCAGTTTTTTCCTGTCTTTGGATTCGAACTGAAACATCAGTTTTTCCCAGGTCTCGAGCCTAGTATCCTCAGGAATGGGACTACACCATCAGCTCTCCTGGATCTCTAGCTTGCCAACTGTAGGCATTGGGACTTGTCAGCCTCCATAATTGTATGAGCCAATTCCTTATGTATCTAATCTGTTTACACACACACACACACACACACACACACACACACACACACACACATACCCTATTAGTTCTGTTTCTCTGGAGAACCCTGATTACTATAGTAGGGAAAGAGAAATTGTATAGCAGGAGCAAAATGCAGGAAGCAGCACTAAGGATGGACCATTTGAGGTGATGAGCCTGACCCTCTAAAAAAAGGTTAAGCAATTTAATGGGTGAGGAAGTTTTTTTGAAGCCTATATCCCCAACCAGTTCCCCAGGGCAGATAGATTTGTAAGGAGAAAAGGAGGAGAGATTGGTCGACCTCAAGAAATCTAGATATTCTTCAGGTAACAAACAAGAAAGCAGACACAGGTGAATGCTTTGGTTTCCCTGGAGGTCTCTCTCCCCAGCCATGGCCTGAGAGTGATAAAGAGGGTTTTAGAATGGGAATGAGGGGGAAGAGATAAAATAGATGGGTAGGCTTTCCCTCTCCCTTTCCTTCTTTGTCCATTATCCAGGTTTACTAGCAATAAGATGCCCTGTCTGTGAGTGCTGCATAGTCTTGGTGATATGGTTTGGCTGTGTCTTCACCCAAATCTCATCTTGAATTGTAGTTCCCATAATCCCCATAAGTCATGGGAGGAACTCGATGGGAGGTAATTAAATCATGAGAGGAGCTACCTCCATACTGTTCTCGTGATAGTGAGTGAGTTCTCATGAGATCTGATGGTTTTATAAGGGGCTTTTCCCTGACTTAACTCTTCACTTCTCCTTGCTGCAGCCATGTGAAGAAGGATGTGTTTGCTTCCCCTTCTGCCATGATTGTAAGTTTCCTGTGGCCTCCCCAGCCATGCTGTACTGTGAGTCAATTAAACCTCTTTCTTTGTAAATTACCCAGTCTCAGGTATTTTTTCATAGCAGCATGAGAACAGAATAATACACTTGGCAAACAGAAGAAATACCTTTCCTTCTTATCTGCTTGGGACAAACAGAGCCCACAGCAGTGTAGAAGATCAAATCATGAGCCAACGAGCTATGAAAGAAGACAGAGGAGGCTCAGAATAATTCGTGTAACCCCAAAATTTGAAAAGAGACAGCAGGTCTTTGTATTTATTAGTCAACAGACATTTAACAACTGTATATAGCACAGGCCCCCTTGCCAGAATATGACTAAGGCCTGGTCACCCAGTGGCTTGGCTGCCACGACCTCCTCCCCAAGTGGGATGAGGTAATAAGAATTCTGGATGTGGAATCAGGAGACATAATTAAATCTCAGCTTGGCCACTTACTAGCTTGTGCCTCTAAGAAAGTTCGTGAGCATTTCTAGGCCTCAATGTTGTCACTTGCAAACAGGAGACATTACAATACTTTCACAGAACTGCTATGAGATATAAGTAACGTATGTTAGTGGTATGCAATAAGCTTTAGACAAATACCAGATGAAGTCAGTGCCCCATAAATGTTGTTTTCCTTCCTTTTCTGTTGGTATGCGCTCTGATTTTTCCATTCTGGTGAAAGATTGCTCTGTGCTGCATTGCAGAAGCAACCTTACCATTTCCTACCCTAAAATTCCTGTCCCAGACCCCAAGTCCAGCATCCTGAAGATGCCTTTCACCCCTTCTGGAAGTCTCAATGGCTCCAAGTACCCTCTAGATTCCTGCTCCTCCCCTTATTTGATTCCTTCTGTTTCTATCCTGCTTCTCTAGGGTATGGTCATAGCACAGTGTTGGACTTTCTGCTAACTTTAGGGTGATCTGATAAAGGTAAGAGCAAGGGCATTTGGTTGCCAACAGCCTCTCCTACTGCAAGGGGGGAGGGGACTTGTATGATCTTATGAGCTTGGATGTCCCTCCAAGAGGCTTTGACCAGTAACAGGCACAGATTCTACAAGGAATCCTTGGTAAATCATAGCCTCAGGGTTAATCGTTAATCTCTCTGGGACTAGGAAATAACCATGAAATCTGCCTCTGGAAGGCCCAGTGTTCCTATAGGGCTACCCCTTCCCCATATACCTGCTGGATGTCTGATTATTTTATATATGTTGATGATTAGCCTGCCCAGTGGATGTTCCCAGGTGAAGCAGCTCACATAATTTGAGGATAACAAGGATTCTCCATAAGCAAATCACAGCGTGTTATTACATCTTGCTTATTATTTTCCCAACAGTGGAAATAAATTTTCATTCTTCCTTTTTGACAAAACCACAACACGAATGATGCATTATGCAAAAAAAAAAATACAACCATCTTATGGACATATTATCCGTTTCTCAAACACTTTATTCTGTTCAACACCTCTGTTTTCTCTTATCAACTGCCTGTCCTAATCCCGTCAGTAAAGGTTCCAAATTTCATCCTCCCTCCTCCCTCTTAACAGATGACCTAACCTCCTACACACTAAGGAAGCTGAAGCCATTAACCAAAAATTCCAACTTTCCTCTCCTCCAATCCCAATGTCTATAATGTGATGATAAACGGGAACCAGGAAGTCCATAGCTCTGCAGAAGAGCCTTGTGTCTTGGCCAAAGAGAAAAGCCCTTTCTGAGAAATCTAGAAGTGATCGTTTGGTAGTGGTGAAGGCACAAAGCAACATTATCTAGAAGGGAGAAGGAAAGTTAGTCATTACCACCATCAACAAAACATGCTTCTTTCCCCTTAGTAGAGTCAGCACTCAGCAAGAGTCTAAGGAAGAAGGTGACACAATGCTCTGTGGTGGTGCAATAAGGGATCTCAGAAGGAATCAGACCAAATTAGTTTTACATTTCCTTAAAATTTCTCACATCCTTGCCTTTGCATTCCTATCTCCCAATCTTTCATTCATTCATATGATCAATAACTACTGAAATTTCTATGTGCCAGCACTCATGTAGGTAGTGAAGACAGCAGTAATCAAAAATAGGGGAGTAAATGAAATAAATAAATATATAGTATGATAGAAGATGATATTTGCTAGGCAAAAGCAGGAGATGGGAATTTCTGTCAGGGAAGGGAGTCATTGCAACTACAAATAGGATAGTCGGACAAGCCATTTCTCAAAAGGTGACATGCAAGTCCTGAAGGAAATGAAAGAGTTTGCCATGCAGATATCTGCGAAACCATTATAAGCAGAGGGGAAAACAAGTGCAAAGACTCTGAGGCAGGAGACAGCCCAATGCGCATTCAAGGAACATGGAGAAAAATAGAAATGGGAAAGGATATGGTGATGCAGCAAGGGAGAGACACTAGGGGTATTATTTTTCCCTTCTCTATCCCCTTTGCCTTCCTAACTCAACTGATTGTTCAAGATCTGGCTCAGATTATACTTCTTCCAAGAAGCCTTCTCTGAATATCCCTCCCCAAATTGGATAAGAGTAACCCTTTTTCATACTCTCATGGCATTCTAAACAATCTTTTCTTAAGGAACTTACACACTGTATTCTGATAACATGTTTTACAGGTACTTAATAAGTGCTCACAAAATGTTTGTTGAAGGAATAAAAGGATGGATGGATGGATGGATGGGTGGATGCATGGATAAATGAATGAATGGATAGATAAGATGGAATGAAATGGAAAGTGAATGAAAGTAGTGAAGACACTAGCTGAAGCTAACTGGAAAAGAAGTACTGACAATGGAAATAAAAAGGAACAGACAGGTGTTAGAGACATTATTGAAGTAAAATGACAATATCTGGCAACTTTATGAATATTAAAGTGGACAAGGAGAAAAAGAACTTTAAATGATCCTACAGGTTCTAGGAATTAAAAGGCTTAGGATGGTCATGTCTGATTTCTTCATCCATTTTAACAGCCCTTTATTGAGTTTTTCCTAAATTTCACTCCCTGTGCTAAGTGCTGGTAAGGCAAAGCTAAATAAGTCATGATCTCTCCCATCAAAGGAATATAGAATACCAGCACGAGACCACACAAAGCAAGGCCACAATCCTACTGTGCTGATGTAACATTGCAGCGCACTATTGTACAGCAGTAAATAGCACCTGCAGAATTTTTGACTCTTGAAGTTGGCAGTATGGCATGGGGGAAAGTGTAAGAGCTTTAAAGTCAAGAATCTTCAATTCCAACTCTGCACCTGAATATAGGAGACCTTGAGAAACCGTTTAAACTCTCTAAGTTTGGCTCTCCTCATTTGCAAACAATGAGACAATAAAACATACTTTGTATGGTTGGTAATAAAATGTAAAGGGATGATATATGGGTAAACAACTAACACGGTACCTTAGAATACTAGGAGCTTTAGCAATATCATTTGGCTTCCTTCTCCCTTGGTCCAAAGTTCAGCAAGTGGCAAGATTGCACCATAAATCCCAGGGATTCAAAATTTGCATCAGACTCACTTTCAGACATACATTCAGTATCATGCTTACATTTAGTGTCTTCCATATTTTAGTCTGTACTGACATTTTAATAACCCTAAGAAAACACCTCCAACTTTAATATCTGGAGACCAAGTTCATTACGAGAGGACAAGAGGGAATAAAGCAGATACCAAATTACTTTTTATATTCAGCATAAAAATAATTTTAGAAGTTTTATACAAACTTCCAATGTTCAATTAGACAGGACTCTACAATCACTGAAGTATTTCCATTGAATCATTGGCAAAGTCATCTATAGAAGTAAAGATCTCTCCTCAAAGAGTCCATGCAACCTCTCTCATTGAAACAGTTCTTCCCTGTTATATCTGCAAGTCTATGTTTCAATACTGAATATTTACATAGTGGTATTACTGAAATTTCAATCATATCTGCCACAGGAGAATTTGGGGGATCAGAAGTAAACATACTATTTGAATGTAGATCGAAAAACTAGGCAGAGGTAATCTCCAATTAATGCAGAGGCCCTTTGTAATAAAAGAACAGAGGAAAATGTGCCTATAGCATAGCAAAACCAAGATTTTTGTCTTTTTGCTGTTTCACAAGGAATAGGGTCAAAGAATAAGAGAAATAATACACACACCTCACACAGGACAGACGAAGAAGTTTTCTGGAAAACATTTATTAGTCCAGTGGAAAAGTGTGTTTGCCATCAAGTGTTTTAAGAGAAAAACTGGCTTTGGCATTGCCAATGCCAAAGAAAACCGGGAAGTTAATTTTATTCTGTAACCATTGCAACAGAGAAAGAGAGACCTCAGTATAGACAGACCTTGGCTCAATTCTGAAAACAACAATGAGTGGAGATTTACAGCCAAAAATCAGGCTGGGGGTCAGTAGATAGAAAATTATTAACAGAAAATCCTCAAAGATAAATAGGATTCTGGCTAAACTGATTTGATAAGACTTGCTGAAGGCAGGCCAGGATGATCAGACATTGAGGTTGGGGAATGAGGAATCTGATCAGATAGCAAGGGTAAAGAATGTTCACTAAACCCAGCAGGATTCTTGAAAGATGGACTAAATGGACCAAGGACAGAGCCCAAGAGTGAGGCCTAATCAAAAAGAGGACTTGGAGAAGCATAACTGAAGTTTGGTTAAGGAGAGAGTCTCAGTCATCAACAGAGAGAGACCCAACTGAAGTGAAAGTGACTACCATTCCTGGGGCACCCCTGACAAAGGGAGTCAGTGGGCCACCAGATGGAGGAAGACTCGGTGCAATCCCACTGGTACCTGAGGCAGCAGAGTGGTAAGTCCTAGGAATGGTTTGAGCCTGTCATTTCATTACCCCTAAGGAAAGGCAAGAGTGACCCTGAGGGCAGGGCCAGGGACTTTGGGTAGGGAGGATTTAACGAGAGGGCTGATGAGAGGGAATGGGTGGGACTAGAAGAAGTTTATGTATGTGGCTCACCTTCCTGAGGACCTAAAATGAAGCCTGATCCACCCCTCCCCATCCACTGTGAGGGAGTTAGCTCAAAGTCACCACTGATGATTCGCTCATCCCCACCCTCAACTCTGCACTGCTTTAGGACACTTAAGCAAGCTCTTCAGTAAAACAGTTGCTTGAACATCATCAGAAATACATATGCTATCCAGAAAAGAGACACAAGTCTTCAGATCAGAGCGAGTTGTAGGGAAAATACCTGCATACCCCAATGTGGAATGTTAGACCACAGTACCAACCAGTGAGGACCACATAGCTGAAAAAAAATTTTAAATCCCTCTGAATTCTGTACCCACTCCCATAAAGGAGAGGTCTAAAATAAACCCACTGAAGGACCAAAAGGAGAGTCCATCCATGTATTAATTGTTGCATGTTCCCTACCTGGAAGCTGAAGTTACATAGCACTTTACATACCATGTGAAAGCATTCCTGGATGATGTGGAGGGGGAAGAAAGTGATGAAAATGAGAGTCTCCCTAAGATTCAGCAGTACAGATGCTCCAAAAACAGCTACCAAGGGAGAGATAAAGAAAATATAAGGAGGGTGTTAGTTTTCAAAAGAAAGGATGCAGTGGAGCATCTTTTAAATTATTAACCCACCTTCCTGGTATGGCAATAACTACTCTTGGGGAAATGTAATATAATATCCTGCCCACCCAGAAAAACCTCTCCACAAAAGTAGAAGAAAAAGAAAGCCATTATATTATTGAATAATCATTAAACCAGAATGTGTTGTGCATCACAGGTAAACTAAAGAAATTGCAAAAACAGAAAGAAATCTCATCCATTTATACAGCCAAGCAGATGGAACCCATTCCACACATGTACTCAAGATAAACAATAACTAGTATTCAAGTAAGAGGACTTGATGGCAACATTTGTTATACATAGTTCCTCCTAAATCCACCTGATAATTGGTGTAGCCACGATATTTGCTAATTGACTTTATCCAGAGGAAAAATAAGTTTTTTGCATACTTGTGACTGGAAGTAGGTTAGTAACTTGGAGTCAGGGCCACTACTGAAGTTAGGTTCCTACCCTCTCCCAGAGTCTGGGAGACAGGGGCACTATCTCCTTGAATGATTCCATTTCAATGAGATAGCTCCCAAGTCCTTGAGGAAAAGATCCTTGGGTTGTAAAATTGGCAGACATCTTATTTAGCTTTTAAAAATTCTTATGGATATCTCAAAGAATCAGAGAGAGAACTCATAAATATAATTTTTATTTAAAGTAAATGTTCTAAGGAAAGTGGTGAGTGAGTCTCTTTCCCTTCTGGCACCAGGGCAAATTTCTTTTTGTATTTACCCTTACACTACCTCTGCCTTATTTACCACTGTATTTTCAGTGCCACACACTGGGAATGAGACAGTCTTTCCCATGCAACAATGCACTCAATCATGCAGTAAGTATTAACTCATTCAACATTGTTCTACATACTAGGAAAGGAAAGTAAATGAAATAGACAAAGCCTTGCATTCACAAAGCTTCTATTCTATTGGAAGAAGGCAGGCAGAAAGAAATCATTTTATTTTATGCAGAGTTATGTGTACAGGGTTATCAGGGACAGCATCTCTGGAATTTGAAAGAACGAGGAACAAGTCATGTGGAGGGCACTATGGCAAGGGGGTGTATAACTACTGGCAATGTAGGTCTAGCCCACAAGGCTTCTCAGCCTCAGCAACATTGACATTTGGGGCCACATAATTCTTTTTTGTAAAAAGCTGTCCTGTGCATTATAGAATTTAGGGCAGCACACCTAGCCTCTACTCACTAGACGCCAGTAGCTCCCTTCTTTCAAGTGTGACAACCAAAAATGCCTCCAGATATTGCCAAATGTTCCTGGCAGGGGAAGGGGACAAAATCACTCCTAGTTGAGAATCACTGGCCTAAGGTGTAACTTGGGAGTGAGTCTAAGGCAGTGATTTTCCAATTCATGGAATGCAGGTAAAGCAGAACTTAGAAGAAAGCAGAGCTTGAAATATGTAGAAAAGGACAAAGAAGATCAATAATCTAAGTACCTAATATGGTTTTGCTGTGTCCCCACCCAAATCTCATCTTGAATTATAGCTCCCATAATTCCCTCATGTTGTGGGAGGGACCAAGTGGGAGATAATTGAATTATGGGGGCAGTTTCCCCCATACTGTTCTCGTGGTAGTGAATAAAAGTCTCATGAGATCTGATCGTTTTATAAGGGAAACCCCTTTCACTTGATTCTCACTCTCTCCTCTTGTCTGCCACCATGTGAGGCATGCCTTTTACCTTCCACCATGATTGTGAGGCCTCCTCAGCCATGGGGAGCTGTGAGTCCATTAAACTTCTTTCTTTTGTAAATTGCCCAATCTCAGGTATGTCTTTATCAGTAGTGTGAAAACAAACTAATACAGTACCCATCTCAAAAAGCTTGAAAAACAAAAGCACATTAAACCCAAACATAAGAAATAAAATAATGATAAGAACAAAAATCAACAAAATGCAAAATAAACATTCAATAGAAAGAAAACCAACAAAGCCAAAAGCTAGTCCTCTGGAAAAGCTAATAAAGTGTATAAACCCCTAGCAAGAATGATCAAGAAAAACAGAAAAGGCACAAATTATTAGTATCATGCATGAAAAAGACCACCACAAATCTTGCAAATATTAACATCATAAGAAGATACTATGAACAACCAATGAATATAAAAAATTTGGATGAAATGGGCAATGTAACCATAGAACCAGGCAAAACTAGGACATATACAGTGAGTGATAAATAAACCTGTGTTGTATTAAGCCACTGAGATTTTAGAATTGTTTGTTATTGTACCACAACCTAGCCTATCTTAACTGACAAAGTAGTCTCCCCAACACAGGTCTGAACAACGGTGAGCAGTGAAAAATCTCCACATCTTCACTTTAAGTTTCCCTTGCTTCCTTGCTTGTTTTTATTATTATTATTATTTTTTTTAGACGGAGTCTCCCTCTCTCTCCCAGGCTGGAGTGCAGTGGTGCAATCATGGCTCACTGCAAGCTCCGCCCCCCGGGTTCACGCCATTCTCCTGTCTCAGCCTCCCGAGTAGCTGGGACTACAGGCGCCCGCTGCCACGCCCGGCTAATTTTTTGTATTTTTAGTAGAGACGGGGTTTCACCACGTTAGCCAGGATGGTCTCGATCTCCCGACCTCATGATCTGCCCGCCTCGGCCTCCCAAAGTGCTGGGATTACAGGCGTGAGCCACCACGCCCGGCCCCCTTGCTTGTTTTTGTTTAGTGTTTTACAACAGAACTCTGCCCCATATTGCATCAGAAATCCATTGAAGTCCTAAATGTATTCGATGGACTTTTTGAACTCTGTTATAAATATAGTATAAGTATACTATATATTATCATCTTTTCTGAAGTAATGCACTTCAGCTCTACAATAACCTGTAAGGTAGACAGGCTGCAGTATTAGTTCTGTCTCTAACCGACAAAGTGGCCTTCACTGATTTCCCCAGTTTCACTTTTCCCATGACAGTGTGGCAATGCCTTGGTTAAACTCAAAAGACTCTATATAAATCTTGGGAATAAGAATACACAAGTACTTCAATTCTTTTAAGCTGTAGGATGCTCAGTAAGATAAGAGAAAGTCTGGGAGAAATATTTATATTCCGGGATCCTCAGAAGCATAAGAAACTCAGAGAATGACCAATGGCCAAAAACTCTTTATAGATTTTTAATTTAAAACAAAATTATACACATGTATAAAAGGATGTAAGTTTAAACCAGTTATACCTATTGGTATATTTGCTAAGAAAAAGCAAATCACTTACCAACCTTTTCAAGAGCTCTCAACTCCTTCCTAGGATATTCATTCAACATTGAATAAAAAGTTCCTGTGTAAACTAGGTTAAATGTAATCTTCAAAACAGAAGCAAGTAGAACATTGTATAGCATAAAATATATTTATTGTAGAAAATAAATGGTATATATTTACCTAAGTTATAAATGAACTGTGTAGATCAGACCCATCACACTATAAATCATGTAGCTCCTCTCTTAATTAAAAATACTTCCATCCCTGCATCAAGTTCCTCTATGTGAAGGCTACATAAAACAAAAGTGCTTTATTGAAGCTTGGTTTTGCTGACATTCCTAAAATATACTGTTTTCTCAAAGAATGTCTTAGGATCCCAGAGACAACAACTGGCATTATTAAAATGGGTTTTTTAAGTAACATATGATGTACCCAGGGCAGGCCAGCACAATTCAACTCACATGCCCTGTTATTGTAATCCTGGCTAAGACAGACTGGTAGAATCAGTACTTCCTCCATATAAAACATATCAATAAGTCCCCTGGCTCTACCTGAGGCCTATATCAGAACAAGGCAAGTGGGTGTCCAACATTCTCTATGTTTAAACTATTCCCCAGTTTCATTCTGATGATAAGAAGCTACTGTATTAGATGACTGAATTAATCAGAAAAAAAGCCAAGCTACGCAGGAACACCACCAAAATAGTAAGAGCTTAACAGAACAAAGGCTAACTCAAAGTTTGCTGTGGGCCTAGGAGACCTTGGAGCAACTCTTCCATGTAGCAGCTCTCTGCAATCCAGATTCTTGGTGCCTCCACCAACCTCTAGATGCAACATCTAAAATATGCAGCCTCAGAGGCTGACACAACAGGCCAAAAGAATGCTGGAGGGTCTCACACTGGCAATTCAATGAGTCAACCTCAAAATAACACACGTTACTTCTACTAATGACCCCTTGGCCAGATGTAGTCACCTGGCCCCAGCTACCTGCAAAGGGACAGGGAAGTGAAACTGTCTCCTATTCCTGTAAGAGGAGAGAAGATGAGGGTATGGAAAAGCTCCAAAAGCCCTTGCCAAAATGACTCTCTGTCTATCTAAAGACTAGAAAGAAAATCCAGTTCTGTCACCCAGCAGCCCATAGGAAAAGTACACACTCTGAGCATTTTCTATGGCTAAAAAATACTAATAATAAGTCCAAAATCTTAGCATGAGCTTAATGTGATCATCAAAGCCTTATATTATCTGGACCTGCCTACCTCTCCAGCCTCACCTATCTCTCTCCTCACATCCTGAGCCTGCCAGTTACACTGAATTTTCTTTCTCCATGAACATATCATGTTCACTTTGGGCCTTCACCCATTCTGTTCCCTCTGTCTGGAACATTCTTAGCTGGTCTCTTCTCTTAGCCAATTGCTACCCATCATTTAGATCTCAACCTAAGCATCCCTATCCAATCATGCCAATCTAGGCTATGTTTCTCTTTGTGTTATGGTCCCATAGCACCCTGAATTACTCTGTCACAACATTTCTCACACATCTATTTACTTAACATTTACCCTCAAGGTAAATCTTCCTGTGAATGTGGGAAGGTGCACTGAAATGTCTTTTGCAGTTGTTGCTTCGGTCAGAAGTCAAAAAGGGATTGAACTTCATTTTGGCTGCTCCCACTTTGGTCTAGATTTTTTTAAAGCTTCAAAATTTTTTAATTTGGCAAGAAGTTCTTTGAAACTAATGAGAACAAAGATACAATGTACCATAATCTCTGGGACACAGCTAAGGCCATGTTAAGAGGGAAGTTTATAGCACTAAATGCCCATATCAATGTTCAATCCATGCCTAACCGAAAGGATAATGAAGTTCAGGTTGTACGAGTACGAGGACACTATAAAGGTCAGCAAATTGGTACAGTAGTCCAGGTTTACAGGAAGAAATATGTCATCTACATTGAATGGGTGCAGCAGGAAAAGGCCAATGGCACAACTGTCCATGTAGGCATTCACCCCAGCAAGGCGGTTATCACTAGGCTAAAACTGGACAAAGACCGCAAAAAGATCCCTGAACAGAAAGCCAAATCTCACCAGGCAGGAAAGGAAAAGGGCAAATACAAGGAAGAAAAAATTGAGGAGATGCAGGAATAAAGTAATCTTATATACAAGTTTTGATTAAAATTTGAAATGAAGAAAAAATATATATACTCATGGTGGCCATTGAGTTTTAGGCACACTGGTGACCGTCATTGCTACAGCTGCTCACTTTCTCTGGTAAACCAGAAAGACCTCAGACACTGGGTTCCTCACTCACATCCACGGGGATGCAGCCCTGCCAGTGCTCAGGCAGAGTTCTCAGGAGCGGGGACACCTTACTGTTAACTTGTGTGTCGTCTTCTAAAGTGATCTCATTAACTGCTGCTGTGACCATGTTAGTCAAAAGTCACAGAGAAGACTGGAGATGGTGCACGTGTTTGCAAGTGGATCGGGGGAACCAGCCCCAATATTTCAACGTACGTTATTTTCTATTTTCCCTAAGTGTCAGCCAGTCTTACAAATAAAGGGATAGAGTACAAAAGAGAGAAATTTTAAAGCTGGGTGTCCGGGGGAGACATCACATGTCGGCAGGTTCCATGATGCCCCCTGAGCTGTAAAACCAGCACGTTTTTATTAGTGATTTTCAAAGGGGAGGAAGTGTACAAATAGGGTGTGGGTCACAGAGATCACATGCTTCAAGGGCAATAAAAGATCACAAGGCAGAAGGTCAGGGCGAGATCACAAGGTCAGGATGAAACTAGAATTACTAATGAAGTTCCATGTCCCACTGTGCACGCATTGTCATTGATAAACCTCTTAACAGGGTTCAAGAGCAGAGAACTGGTCTGACTAGAATTTGCCAGGCTGGAATTTCCTAATTCTAGCAAGCCTGGGGGTGCTGCAGGAGGCCAGGGCGTATTTCATCCCTTATCTGTAACTGCATAAGGCGGACACCCCTAGAGCAGCCGTTTTAGAGGCCTCCTCCTGGGAATGCATTCTTTTCCCAAGGCTGTTAATTATTAATATTCCTTGCTGGGGAAAGAATTCAGTGATATTTCTCTTACCCATTTTTGGCAATAAGAGAAATATGGCTCTGTTCTGCCCAGGTCACAGGCAGTCAGACCCAATGGTTATCTCCCTTGTTCCCTCAACATCGCTGTTATCCTGTTCTTTTCTCAAGGTGCTCAGATTTCATATTGTTCAAAAACACACGCTTTATGAACAATTTGTGCAGTCAACGCAATCATCACAGGGTCCTGAGGCAACATACATCCTCAGGTTACAAAGATGATGGGATTAAGAGATTAAAGTAAAGACAGGCATAGGAAATTATAAGAGTATTGATTGGGGAAGTGATAAATATCCACGAAATCTTCATGATTTATGTTTAGAGATTGCAGTAAAGACAGGCATAAGAAATTACAAAAGTACTAATTTGGAGAACTAACAAATGTCCATGAAGTCTTCACAATTTATTTTCTTCTGTCATGGCTTCAGCAGGTCCCTCCATTCGGGGTCTCTGACTTCCCGCAACACATGTGCCTGTGTGTGTGCATGCTCCTGTGTGCGTGTGCATGTGTGTATGGCTAAAATTAAGTCATGCTGTCAGCCACTCATGATCTCATTTGAAATAGTGTTTGGAAATGGGAATGGTTTTGTCCTGCATGCTGATGTGTCCAGAATTTCATTTAATAATAAAAGGAAAATGTGTGGTTACTGAAAAATGTGTATTGATACAGAATTTCGTAAGAGCCATGTTAGACAAAGCAACTCTCTTTTTCAACCACTGCTCATCAGTTTCTGTAGAGTAAAAAAATCTGTACATATTTTGGAATCTGGAGAATCCTATATAAATCATTTGTTACTTAAATCTGTGAAAAACATGTTTCTTTGGAGGAAAATGTATGCATTTATAAGCATTCTGTGGAATCAGTTTTAATTGTATTCATGTAATTGTCTCTAAGTGATCATCATCTTCATAGCAATAAGAAATTCATTAAAATGTCCATGTTCCATAATTCTAAAGAACTAGAAAAACAAGAGCAAACAAATCCCAAAGCTAGAAGAAGACAAGAAGTAACCAAAATCAGGGCTGAATTGAAGGAGGTCGAGACACACACACACAAAAAAAAAAATTCAAAAGGTCAACAAATCTAGGAGGTGGTTTTTTAAAAAAATTAATAAAATAAGACCACTAGCTAGACTAATAAAGTAGAAAAGAGAGAAGATTCAAATAAGCACAATCAGAAATAATAAGGGGAATATTACCACTGACCCCACCGAAATTCAAAAACCATCAGATAATATTATAAATATCTCTGTGCACATAAACTAGAAAATCTGGAAGAAAAAGATAAATTCCTGGACATATAGACCTTCCCAAAACTGAACCAGGAAGACATTGAATCTCTGAACAGACCAATAATGAGTTCTGAAATTGAGGCAGTAATAAATAGCCTACCAACCCAAAAAAGCCTGGGACAAGATGGATTCACAGCTGAATTCTACTAGATGTACAAAGAAGAGCTGGTACCATTCCTACTGAAACTATTTCAAAAAATTGAAAAGGAGGGACTCCTCCCTAATTATTTTATGAGGCCAGCATCATCCTAATACCAAAACCTGGCAGAGATACAACAAAAAAAGGAAATCTCAGGCCAATATCCTGTTTTATGGGTATCTTTTTAGTTTTCCCAAAAGGCTGATAAATTTCAACATTTTGAATACATCATTGTTAATTCTGAGTTGGCAGAGGTAAACTAACCAACTACCATTATGTTTTAGTACTAAGGGATATATACCTTTCAATAAAGTTACTGAAATGCAAAAAATAAAAAATAAAAAACTTTGGAAAAATAGAAATTAAAATTTTTTTAAAAAGGTTACCCTCCCTACAAAATTACGTTTGAAGACCATATCTATCTTTTATTCTGAGAACATTATGCAGTTCCTGGCTCACAAATGATGCTCGATAAATACTGATTCACTGTATTAGCTTCCTATTGCTGCTATAATAAATTACCACAAACAATGCCTTCGATCAGCACAAGTTTATTATCTTAATGGTTTTGAAGGTCAGAAGTCCCACACAGGTCTCACTGGGCTAAAACCTATGCGTAGTTGGGAGCTGTATTCCTGCTGGAGGCTCTGGGAGATAATCTGTTCCCAGTCTTTTCCAGCTTCTAGCAGCCACCCACATCCCTTGGCTCATGCTCTCCCACCAGCAATGGCATTATTCTTACCTCTGCTTTTGTCATCACATAACTCTTTCTGACTCAGACTCTCCTGCCTTCCTCTTTCCCTCATAAGGATCCTTGTGATGATATTGGGCCGACCTGGATGGATAATCTAGAATAATCTCCCCATCCGAAGGACTCTAATTTAATCACATCTGCAAAGTCCCTTTTGCTATATAAGGTAACAAAATCACAGGTTTGGAGGATTTGCATGTGGACATCTTTGCGGGGTCGGGGAGCATTATCTTGTCCACCATACTGGCTGACTCATCATTATCTCACTTCTCACAGAGAGAAGACGTACAACAATAACACTTGTGAACCTCTGTTCCCGTCTAAGGAAGCATCTCAGTTCTTTGCAAAAGCCTGGCTAGAAGGGAGTTTCTCATTGTCTAGTGAGTGCTGACTCTGGAGGGCTGTCTCCAAAAGAATTTAACAGGGCCTCCACCCATTTCCCTCTCAGCTCCATGTACATTGTACCACTCAAACCTCCCACAGGTGAGAAAGTGAAAGTATGAAAAGTGCAGAACGCCCCCTCTTTGACCTACAACAAGTTAGAAGAAGCCAGAAATAAAACCTCTCATTTTATACCCCAGTGAACACATACTTGTTGAATCCCTTCCATTATGCATGCTGGGGTACAGATGAGGTCCCACTGCCATGCAGTTATATTCCAGAGCAGGAGACCTGCTACAGGGAAGCCACAGTTCCCATACTCAAATGCCTTGCTGGGCTATGCAAAGAACTCACATGTGTGAAGTAGTCAAGGGTGAGAATACAGGGAGTGGTGATTATGTTGAGCAGGAGAGTTTCTGCTTGTCTAAAGACATTCAATTCAAAATTGATCTATGACCACTATGCTGGCCAAGGAAAACAAGCCTGCAACTTAGATCAGCACCCCCAACTCATCATCTACAGGGTTGCCATTCCCAAGGTAAACAGATTGATAAAATAATTTCAGATATTGACACATTTTGTGAGAAAAATAAGGCAGGCTTATGTGAGGGCAATCACTTAATGTGGGGGAGGGATGCTCTGGCTTTTCAGGGAAGGCAACCTATTCCAGGACACCAGACATCTTTGTCTCTACCAAGAATTTCCAGTGAGGAACTCAGATCTCAGAAGAGGCATCTTCTCTGTCCTGTGGTTATAAAATGAAGTAACTCAAAATTCCATTTTGATGAGAAGGGGTATTAGAATAAGAAGAAAAATTGTCTCTTCTTTGGAAAATCTTATAAACCACAAATGGAGTTGAAAGCATCAGGTTACAGCAAACCTAGGTAGAATCTGATAAGAGACAGTTATCTTAATAGAAAAGTGCTCTTTCATTTTTCGTAATGCATTCCAGAAACCACGTATCACAAGACAGTGTGATCATTTGACTATTCTGGTTTTTTGGTCTAGTACCTGACTTTGATTCTTGTGCTCAACTTAAGTCCCCCTGAGTATTCTTTGCATTATACTCCTTCCAGTAGAAGTGAGTTCACATCCTGTCCATAGCTTCTTTCACAATCCAAGCTATATGTCTTTAATGTTAATGTTTCAAACTCACTCTCAGAGAGATGTTTCACATGCCTGGTCATGCCTGGTTGCCAATTGCCTTTGAGAGAGTTCTTTCTAGCTCATGAGTCTAGCAATCAATAGTATAATTTGTTGCTGTGTTCTCTGTATATTAGGAAGAGGCAAGCTCTATGTAGAAATCAATGTGTGGGGGGAAAAAATGACATGGGCTTTAAAATGTAAGTGTAGGTACAGGTGTAAGTATAAGTACCTGCATTGCCATGGGTGTGGTGGCAGAGCAGTGTTTCTGTATAAGCAACTCTTATTTATACCTGATTGATGATAAGATAGCTGGGGACCCATTTGGCCTATTATTTCTCTTTTTGTTCCTAACTGCTCCCTTCAGAGGAGAAGCAAAGATATATAAGATACTGATTAGCCAAGTTAATAGGTTAGAGAAAACTTGGGGAAGAAAATATATAGAAAAGAAAGGAAGTCAATTGACTTTGGGCATTCGATGATCCATGATAAGGTTAGTTGAGTTGTAGGAGCCTATGTTGTTTTAATAGCTTAAGATGTAGGCCTCAGAGATGATCATTTTTGGGGACAGAAAGTAGATTTCATCTCAGTATTATCTCATGCCATCTGGTAGTGCCTATTTGGAAGATTAGGCTGGGACACAAGATCACAAGAGAAAGAGCCTTGAACAAGTAGTAATCTCTGCCATGGGTGCGGGAGGGAAGGTTGACAGTATGCCCAGCAAGAATTTGCCTTCCTTGGCCTAGACCAATAGCCTCATTTCACAAACTAGAAAGTGAGAACCAGGAGAATTTAAATGATTTGTCCAAGGCCTCACAGCTCTGAAGCAGTTCTGGGAGTTCCTGTTGTGCTAACTCCATACCAGCCTTTTTTTTTTGAGATGGAGTTTTGCTCTTGTTGCCCAGGCTGGAGCGCAATGGTGCAATGTCGGCTCACTGCAACCTCCACTTCCTGGGTTCAAGCGATTCTCCTGCCTCAGCCTCCCGAGTAGCTGGGATTACAGGCATGCACCACCACACCTAGCTAATTTTTGTATTTTTAGTAGAGAAGGGGGGTTTCTCCATGTTGGGTCAGGCTGGTCTCAAACTCCCGACCTCAGGTGATCTGCCCGCCTCAGCCTCCCAAAGTACTGGGATTACAGGCGGGAGCCACTGCACCTGGCCTCTTCCATCACACCACTCTGCTTAGCACCTGTCCCACATAAATAAGAATAACACACACTATAGTATAGATAAGGTGAGGCTACAACATGACCATGGTAGACTGAAAAAGGGTCTCCAAAAGATGTTCATGTCCTAATCCCCAGAACCTGTAACTATGTAAGTTGCATGATAAAGGAATCTGCAAACATGATTAAGTTAAGGATTTTGAGATGGGGGGGGGTATCCTGGATTAGCCAGGTGGACCCAATGTAATCACAATGGTCCTTACAGAGAAAAGTAGGAGAGTCAGAGTCAGAGAAGGGGACGTGATGATGGAAGGAAGTTGGAATGATGTAGGGTCAGGAACCAAGGAATTTGGGCAGCTTCTTGAAGCTAGAAAAACACAAGGAAATAGATTCTCCCCTAGTGCCTCCAAGGAGAGCTGCTGAGGACTCCCACAGGCTCCCTGCTTTCTTATTTTTTTGATCCTCCCCAGGACTCGCTCTATCACCCCATTTGCCTAATAAAATACCATGCATCTTTCAAAAGTCTGCTAAGCTACAATATGGTGCCATGAGAATTGCTAAAATGAAAAGAAAAAATATTGTCTGCAAGGAAGTGGAGCAACCAGAACCCTCATAGACTGCTGCTGGGAGTATAAGTTAGTACAACCACTTTGGAAAACTATTTGGAAGTAACTATAAAGCTTAATATACCATAAGAACAAACGATTGCACTCCTGGGTGTACATTCAACAAAAATGCATACATATGTTCATTAAAGCACATGTATTAGAATTTCACAGCAGAACTATATGTAACAGTCAGAGACTTAAAGTGTCCACTAAACAGTAGGTAAATAAATGGAGGAATGAATGCATGCATATTCTGACAATGGAATATCATACAATGAGACTGAATGATCTTTACTCATATCTAATAATATAGATGAATGTCACAGACATAATGTTTGTTGAAAGAAGCCAGACAGAAAAGTTTACATATTGTGTCATTCCTGTTATACAAGGCACTAGTTGCAGGCATCACTGCTATATGCTGTTTAAAGTCAGATAGGTCTTACTTTTGATGGATAGTAACTAGGAAGAAAAATAAGAGATCTTTCTAGGCACCTGGCTTACATGGTGTGTTCAACCTGTCAAATTTTATTAAGCTGTACATTTACTATACATGTATATTACATTTCAATCAACCTTTAAAAATAAACTCAATTAAAGCATTCCTCTGGTTTCCTAACCATTCTCCAGGATAAAATTGATTATCCCTTCCTGGCGTTTAACTTTATCTTGTGCAGCCTCTGTTATGTCATACGTAATAATGTATTATCAATATGCCTTATCTTCTAAACTATAAATTCCTTGAAAACTATGGTATTTCTAACTCATTTGAATGTCCAAAGCCTAGCCCGTAGTAGTAACTAGAAAATGTTTGTTGAGTTGAATGAATGAATTAGTTTCTTCTTTTGCAGTCACTTCACGCCTGGTCATTTCAACAAACATTTGATCAATAAATACTTATATGTGATAGGCCCTGTGTTAGGTGTTTGGAATAAAAAGATTTTAAAACACAGTTCTTAGACAAGCATAAACAAATGCCAGTCAGAGTCTAAGAGTTTTATATTTAAAAAAAAAAAAAGAAAAGAAAAAAGAAAAATTCAAGGACTTTCTTTTTACCAGCTGTAAAAAAAAAAAAAAAAAAAAAAAAAAAAAAACTACATCTGCTGACTTCCTTAGCCATCCAATGGCATTCTCCTTCCTCTCTTTACTATTTTCACATTGGCATATTGGATTACACTTTTCTGGGATTATTTTCCTTCATGTTTCCTTCTCATGTTTATTTTCCTTCATGCTTCCTTCTTAGGATGCTCTATCTGTCCTAAACCTTATACTTTCTTAAACCACTAGCCTTTAAGGGCAGGTCTGCTAAGATAGTGTTTCCAATCTTTCCATTTCAGGACACATAGAGAAAGTGATGTTATTTGTACTGCACACGGGGGCAAATGGGAGAGGCTACTTGAGGCCAAAGGTGAGCACCCCACGTGCTCCCTGATGTTCCAGGTCCTGCCTGGGCTCAGAGGATTAAGAAGTCAACATCTCATTCTCTGCACACCAGTATTTTATACAACACATAGTGAGAAGCTTGCTGATCTAAGGACATTGGTCAGATTATATGACCATAGGGTCAATATCTATTATCATATTGTCCACCCTGGCTATGATGGCCACACAGGCCAGCAGCCATACTGCTAATCAATATCCTTGGCTTCTCCCCATTCCAACTAGCCGGCTGATAACACAGACTCAGTTCAGATTCTACCCTTGGAGAGAGAACTATATCCATCTCCTTTGTTTGGATGCTTGCTTAAAAGTGTCTATTGACAGGTGAAGAGCATATGCCCATGAAACAGACACCTTTTCTCTGAAGTCTCCTGGCTTCCCATTCTCCTGGACTGTGCCTTATGGAATGAGAGCTGTCAGGACCAAAGTTGCACCTCAGAAGTTGTTTGTCTGACAAGTCACTGCTGACTGTGGCAGAAAAGCCTTTCAAAAATTTCCTCCCACTACCTGTGGGTTGCAATAGCTAAGCATGTTGTTAAAATAAATATGACAATTTTGAAGATCAAAGACTGCCTTCAAAGGGATATGGTTAATTCTACTTACCATGCTTGATTTGTATTTACCAAAGAGAGCTAGAAATCCTGAGACTAGCTGCGAAGATCCAACCAGCTTGTTGCTTTTATGACCTTGGCTTTTACTGTTGAATTACAAAAGGTGGATAGCTGGAGATAGCAGACTTAGCTATGGTACTGCAAGTGACAGAAACAGGAAGAGGTCCAAAGAAATAGAGAAGAACTTCAACAAGAAGCTAAACTGAGGGGCCCCTTGTGGAAAAGAAACTTCAGAGCAGGACTCACTGTGCGGGCAAGGAACCCATTTGTGAGAAATTAGGGGGTGGAAGGGAAGTAATAACCCACATAAATTATTAAAGTCATCATGTGAGCAAGAACAAGGCTGCAAGAAAAGGTGCAAGGCAACACATGCCTACACTATGCATTGCTGATAGGCAAAGGGGGCATTTCACACGGGCTGCTGAGAAGAGATGCCTGAACAGCCCTATGATGGAAAATGGGCAGAGAAAGTGAAGGGGCTAGCCAAACTAACCATGGGGCAACAGTCCTGGAAAGATAGAGAGATGAAGAAAATCATGTGTACTAGAACTCATCTTGTGCAGCTTACTGAATGTGGTTACAAGGAATAATTTGGGAACTTCTTGTGAAGGAGGAAATGGGAGGTGAAATCCCCTTAAAAGCATGCTTGAATAACACCAGATGTTTGTTAAACTGCCTTTTAAAATAGGTGGGTCCAGATGACTGCAGGGCTTTTGATATGCTGAGTGGATCTACAAATTTGGACCAGAGCAGAATTGCTCAGGATGAGAGAGAAGCAGCAGAGCTCTGCTGTAGAGACCCCTCCTTTCTGCCCTTTTGTCACACATCACTGAGCCACCCCTCTTCATAAGTATGACCAACAACTTATAGGTGGGAGGATCATCTGAAGTCAGAAGTCAAGACCAGCCTGGCCAACATGGTGAAACCCCATCTCTACTAAAAATACAAAAATTAGCTGGGCGTGGTGGCATGCACCTGTAATCCCAGCTACTCAGGAGGCTGAGGCAGAAGAATCACTTGAACCCAGAAGGCGGAGGTTGCAGTGAGCCGAGATAGCACCACTGCACTCTAGCCTGGGTGACAGAGCAAGACTCCATCTCCAAAAAAAAAGAATGCATAGGTAACACTTTCTTTTTTTTTCTTTTCCAAACAAATAGATAACAAAAGTTTTCATTGTTAAAAGGATGGTTGAGACACATATTTACCATGTCACCAGAGCACTGATTCTCACTTTCCTTGGGTCTACGGACTCACTGTTGTGAATTTGATCAAGCTACAAACCTACTCATCAGAAACTGGCCCCAAAAGCACATATAATTTCAGGAGATTCACAAATACTCCAAAATCTATTTAAGGATCCTAAATTAAAAGCTTTAACTATAGAAAGGTTTGACATGCCTAGTGCCTAGGTAGCCATGACAATTCATGCTGGATATCTGGATACAATCCTAGAACTCTATCTCCATCAATTCCAAGAGGGCCATATAAAGGAATTCCTCTAATATGTGGCTAACATGTCCATTAGCACTCTTGGAGTATCTTATCATATACCATGAGGAAAATCAGTCTTCTTGGGCTTAATTTCTATGTAAGCATGAGAATGGCAAATAAGTTAAATACTAAATTACTAGTTTTTTCTTATCATCAATACATTCATGTTCTATTTAGAAATGCAATTTTGAGAGTTTATAATAAAGAAAGCCTTGGTTAACAGGCTGTTAAGGAAAGTTTAAGTGTTTTCTTTTTTAAAAAAATGCTTTATTGACTTCATTGGCAAATTTATAAACGGTTAACATGGCTTCAACTAGTTGAAATTATGATTCACATCAACATGATGACAATTGTGTATACAGTTCATGTTGCACTCATACTGTACGCCTTCTTATTTGTGGTCCAGAAGAATGGCTGTTGCTCTTTCCTTCTTCATCCAGAGTCTTTTTGGTAGCTTTTAATTCCTTCTTCTGCTTCTCTACCTTCTGTTTCTCCAGCTGGGCTTGGTATTTTCAAACTTTAGTTATTTGGTTGGCTTTTGCCTCCATCCTTCCCACTAATGCCTCCGATTCTCACACTAAGTTGTCTTTCAGTTCAACAGTTGCCAACTCCTGGGTAAGTTTTGCATGCTGCTGGTGATTAAAGGTCCTATGTCCATTCATCCTGTAAAGTCTGTAAGACTTCTGACAATTCCTCATTAATGCTGTCAGAGGAGGGAGGTATTAATGACAACTTCTTACTTTCAACACATCTTGAAGATACTTGCTTTGCCAAAGGAACACTAATGACTGATCACTGCACAAAGCTTTACTGTGTTGCTTCATTAGATGCAATGCAAGACAAGCTGAACATTGGCTGCCACAGCATGGCTAAGACTTGTGGACTTCCCAGCTACAAATGGCACATCACCCAAGCATAATCTATAATGTACTCGTGCACCAAAATAGTTCCTAGAACTTAGTTTTTCTTGTGGTTTTGACTTTTTTTAAAATTCTTCTTGCACTGGGAAAATGCGGACTTGCCTTATCTTCAATAATAAGTCTATTTGTTTCTAGACCAGTCTGTAACTTAGCTGCCTTAGTTTGTACATGTTTCCTTTCCTGTTCTTCTTCAGAGTTTTGCTACCAACTCTTACATTTTTCTTTCTGCAAGGGCCTGCACTGTGGAAAGTTATACTCCCATTCATAAAGATCCAATTTTTCAAGTTGGCTCCAAACATGTCTTTGATTGTATCGCCATTCTCTTTCTAGGGAAACCTGTTTCTCTAAGACAGATGTCCTCTCCCTTTCTGCATGCTTTATCATATTTCACATGTATTCCAATTGTTTTCCTAAAAGATTACATTTATTTTCTGCAGCTATCAACTGAGATATCAGTTCTTGATTGTGCTTTGATTCTTCATTCTTTGAATTCTCCCTTTCCCATATCTCTCCATCCAGTACCTTCTTGGATTCAATTGTTTCTCTAGACAAGGTTTTCACACTTTCTTCTGCCAGAATCATTTCAAGTTCCAAGCATCAAATCTTACCTTTAAGATTCTTAAGAGCACAAAATATAGCTCTGCTGTTGCTTTCTGGATAGGCAAGTGTAGGCTTATTTGGGGAGTGTCGTAGATCACTCTTAAGGAAAGGCTTATCGGATGGATGTACTACATTTGGAGATGAAGAATGCTGAACAGGCTTCCCTAAGGCCCTGATGGTTCAGTTAAGATGTTTGAGAACTGAGAACCAGAAGCAGCAGAGACCAACGCCACCCAGGGAGCCTCCACAGGTCTGAGACATCTGGGTTCTCGTACTCTCCTTCAAAACTCAGGAGCTGCCCACCAGGGGTGATCCTAAGCTGAACCCCTGATAGAAAGGGGCAAAGGTGCTAGTGCTGGGCTTAGAAACCCCTGCCACACACTGGTGCCACTTTCTTAGTCTGTTGGGGACAACCACATAACTCAGTCTGGCCTTAATCATAAATTTTGTGACCATGTGAAAGCCAACCATTTTTTGAAGGACAATTTGGTAATAAATAACAGATATTTTTAAACCCAAAGCCTTTGATCCAGAAATTTAATTCCTAGGAATCTGATGTCCAGAAACACTCATAAATGTGTACAAAGATATTTTTATGGATTTCAGTTTAGCATTGTTTATAATAGGGAAAGAATAAAAATATCCTAAATGTCTATCTATAGGGGATTAATTTAATTATACTATATCTATATTTTGCATTTCTTAAGAAGACTAGGTATATATATATATATATGTACTGATGTGGAATGGGGTTCATAACATATTGTTCAAAAAAATAAAAAGAAAAAAGTAAGTATTTCATCATCTTGTTTTTAAGTTTATTTTTTAACTTTAAATGGATGTATGTGTACATATATATTGGGGTGTATGTGTATATATATATATATATATATACACACACACATATATATACATATTCACAGATGTAAATTTGTATATGCATAGAAAAAGTGTGAAGAAAAAAACTCACACCTAATAATAAGCAATGGTTTCCTCTGGGGAACTGGATGGTATTTTTGCTATGTTACTTCTGTATTATAATTTTTAAATAATTTGTACTACCTTTGCAATTTTAAAAATCAACAAAAATACTTCTTAAGGGAGTTGAAACTATGTTGCATGTATTTTGTTATCCAATCAGGATCGCATTACAATTAAACTAATTATATCACTTTAAAGTGTAAGAAAACAGTGTTCGGTACTCTTTGGTCTCTCCCACTCTACAACAAATATAGGGAAATGGGAACATCACATCACTATTATACCACTAACTGTTCAAGGGGATCTAAATGTCATATCAGGCAGGGCAGTAGTCAAGTTTGTACAAGTTGCCATTTTAATTACACAATTTTAAGAAAAAAATATATAAAATTATGAATATAAAATCAGGTATAAGGCTAAATATTTAGAAAAAGAAATCACAAAAAAATAAGTTCAAGAACGCTAACAAGCCAGACATAGCAGCTCATGCCTCTAAGCCCAGCTACTCAGGAGGCTGAGCCCAGGTATTGAGGCTGCAATGAGCTATGATGGCGCTGCTGCACTCCAGCCTGGGAAACAGTGTGAGACCCTGTCACAGGGAAAAAAAAAAAAGACAGAAAAAAGAATGCATCATTCTTAGGTGAGAAGTCACTTGGAAAAAAGAAAAAAACACAAGAATGCTAACAAACACAACAATGATATAATCCAGAAAAATAACAAATTTTATTAACGTTGCTATTTTTAGAATACATTTCTATAATACTATTTTCTTACACTTTTTGGCTAGATGCTCTTTTAACAAGAATTTTGTAATATCATTTTCTACAGAAGCAACATTATTTAGTGTTTCCTCTAGCACAATTTATGGAAATATGTTTTTTATTATTGACTGTCTCAAAAGGTTTTTTGCTTCAAATTTCATTATTGTTAATGACATGCAAAATGTTTAGGATCATTGTCCTATAATGAGGGGAAATTCTATCAAGTGTCTTTCATATATCAACTGTAAAATTTCAGGGCACTTCAAGTTTCTTGTAGAGTGAGTAATCTTAAACGATCATTCATTAAGATCATTCATTAACTGATTTGTCATCAGTGTCCTCATTGTAGTAGCATTTTGTGAGTTTTTGATTATTTTTTGTTTATATGTTGTGTCAAATCAGCAAGAAATTTATTTTCCAGTTATGTTTGAATAATTAATTTCTCTTAATTTAATCATCAAACAAGCTAAGAGTTGATCATTACTTCTGATGAAATTTACCTCTTTCTATTAATGACATAACTGGGTTTTGGGTAAAATAAATGTTTTGGGGTATGATCTGCATGATGTTTCATATGGAACCACCAAACTGTGTCAGGACAAGATTTATCAAATACATTAAGATGTTTCATAGCATATTGGTATGCATAAGATATGCAAGTTCACACATATATAGACTCTTTATTTGTAATACTGCTTAAGATTTATGTCTTATACAGGCAATAACAAATGCTAGTGAAGATGTGGAGAAAAGAGAACCCTCATACACTGTTGGTGGGAATGTAAATTAGTAAAACCATTATGGAAAACAATTTAGAGGTTCCTCAAAAAACTAAAAATAGAGGTACCATGTGATCCAGGAATCCAACTCCTAGTATATACCCAAAAGAAAGGAAATCAGTATATCGAAGAGATATCTGCACCCCCATGTTTGTTGCAGCACCATTCATGATAGCCAAGATTTGGAAGCAACCTAGTGTCTATCAACAGATGAATGGATAAAGAAAATGTGGTATTAATACATATCCACAATGGAGCACTATTTGGCCATAAAAAAGAATGAAATTCTGTCATTTGCAACAACATAGACGGAAGTGAAATAAGCCAGGCACAGAAAGACAAACATTGCATGTTCTCACTTATCTGTGGGAGCAAAAAGTTAAAATAATTGAATTCATGGAGATAGAGAGTGAAAGGATGGTTACCAGAGGCTGGGGAGGGAAGTCCACATGGAGGGGTTGAAGGAAACAGGGGGATGGTTAATGGGTACAAAAAAAAATAGTTAGAAAAAACAAATAAGACCTAGTATCTGATAGCACAACAGGGTAAATATAGTAAAAAATAATTTCATTGTTCATTTTAAAATAACTAAAGGAGTATAATTGGACTGTTTGAAACACAAAGGATAAATGCTTGAGGTAATGGATATCCTATTTACCCTGATGTGATCATTGTGCACTGTATGCCTGTATCAAAATATCTCATGCAACCCACAAACATATGCACTGAATATGTACCCACAAAAATTAAAACTTAAAAATTAAAATATATATATGTCCTATAAACACAAGAATTTGCATAAATTTGATTGGACACAATTTTCTTTGAAAAGTATGTGATGCAGTATAACTATATATGCTGCCTAAAAAATAAATTCCTGACATAAGAGAATGGCCATTTTCAAGATCTTTGTATTCTGGGCCCTCGCTTTACAGGCTACTTCTAAGCCCCTGGGAGGGGCCCTCGCATGAGTACACATGATTATCCATTTGTCCAGTTTGGAAAAGTCAGATAATTTTATGACAAATGGTTAATAACACTGTGTCTTCCCATACTGACTTCTCCATCACACATCCCTTCATGTTAGATAGTGTTAACAATGGGCATTTCTGAGACCTGGACTGAATCATTCAGAGAACTAAACTCTTTGCTACAATTCCACACTCTCACGACTGCAAGGACTTTCCACAGAGTAGCTTCCAGCCCCATACACTCCATATCTTGTCTCCCATCCATGGATCAACATTTGTATATTTTACCATGGCACACATTCATCTGACGATACAGCCTCCGAACCTATCTCTTTGTGTTACAGTGCCAGATGAATCAGCACAGAGGATTCCGTTTTCTAGAAACCATTCCTATGCAAGATCACGTAGTAATAATTCACTACACGTGGAAATGACAGTAAAATACATAAATACCTCCCACTTAACCTAAATTAAATGAATCCTCAACTTAACCTCCCAAAAATGCTCACTTCCAACCCTACCAACAGAAAGGACTTTTGACAGAGGAGAAGTTGTAGTGTTAAGAGTCAGGGGGTTTATGGAGTAAAAATAACTTCTTTTTGCAAATTTTGCAAAAACATAAGATCATGTGAACCCACTGCCAGTGTCCCTCTAAGGAGCTCATGCCATGAAGGACCCTGAAGTTCAAGCTTCTTTAACTTCATGGAAAATCTGCCTCTGAACATAAGACCCTGCTTAGGAGGACACTCAGGGAAAAGGATCATCAGAACTGTCTAAAAATTCCCCAATGGAATAAAACCCTAATGTGGCCTATGAGGGCCTGCCTCCTTGACCTACACCTGTCTCTACAGCATTTCATACTGAGAGGTGAAGCCAGCTGGACTTGCTGGGTTGAGTGGGGACTTGGGGAACTTTTCTGTCTTACAAGAGGATTGTAAGAGGCACCAATCAGCACTCTGTAGCTAGGATTGTAAAATGGACCAATCAGCACTCTGTAGCTAGCAAAGGGATTGTAAAATGCATCAATCAGTGCTCTGTAAAATGCACCAATCAGCACTCTGTAAAACGCACCAATCAGCAGGATCCTAAAAGTAGCCAATCACAGGGAGGATTGAAAAAGTCACTCTAATAGGACAAAAATGGAACACGCGAGGGGACAAATAAGGGAATAAAAGTTGGCCACCCCCATTCAGCAGCAGCAATCCACTCAGGTCCCCTTCCACACTGTGGAAGCTTTGTTCTTTCACTCTTCACAATAAACTTTGCTACCACTCACTCTTTGGGTCCATACCATCTTTAAGAGCTGTAACACTCACTGCAAAGGTCCATGGTTCCATTCTTGAAGTCAGCGAGACCACAAAACCACCAGCAGAACCAACTCCAGACACATCTTGTGGGCTCCTCCGGAATATTGCCATGCAGTGAGTACCATTGGACCCCTGTTGCTTGCTATTCTGTCCTGTTTTTCCTCAGAATTCGGGGGCTAAATACCAGGCACCTGTTGGCCAGTTAAAAGTGACTAGCACAGGGCCTGACTAAAGACACGGGTGTCAGGCTTTCTGGGAAAGGGCTCTCTAACCATCCCTGACTCTTTGGAGTTGGGAGCGTTGGTTTTCCTGGAACCAGATTCCGCTTTCCCTGTACTTCTGGGCTGAGCCAAGGGTCAACAGAGAAGAAAGCCATTCAGCTTCGGGGTCCCGACAACAAGTTGGTTGACCCTGCAGCCATGAGCAGAACTCTCAAAGTTACATCACCCAAGAGAGACTAGCCCATCTATCCTATCTATCCTGACCCTTGCCTCCTAGGTCCTGATGCCTGTCAGACAAACTTCCTCCCACCTCTCTTCTCCAAGGCTAGTCCTGTTTCTAAAAACCACTCCCTGTCCCTGGCGCTCTTCTAGTTTATCCTATAAGAATGATTTCTAGTATAAATTTCAGGACTCTGTTCCCTTCTTTAGGCACCCAGGCTCACCAATAAGAAAGATATAATTATTGCCCAAAGCCCCATCAGTGGGGGGACTATCTGGAATTTTAGGATCCCTCCTCAGACTAGCAGGCCTAAAAAAGGCTATTCCCAAAGCTAGGATATGGGGAGCCTCAGAAATTATAGACTCCAAAATTGGGGGGGATATCATTCCCATTCATATGATGAGAAGTGAGGACAAAAGGCATCACTCTTCCCACCCTGGAGATCCCTTCCCTCCCTCAGGGTATGGCCCTCCACTCCATTTTGAGGCACATCATCTTTATAGGACAAGTGTAAGGTCCCAATACTAACAGAAGAAAAGGCTTAGGACTCTAACAGGTTTTTGAGAATGCGTCAGTAAGGACAACTAAATCTGACTTTTCTTGGTCCTCTTTGTGGTCTAAGAGGAAAGGCAAGGGTGCAGATTTTTGAGAATGCTTCGGTAAGGGCCACTGAATCTGACCTTCCTCAGTCCTCTTTGTGGTCTAGGAGGAAAACTAGTGTTTCCGCTGCTGCTTCAGTGAGCGCAACTATTCTGAACAGCAGGGTCCAGGGACCGTTGCAGGTTCTTGGGTGGGAGGAAAAAAAACAGACCAAAACTATGGGTGGTTTTTTTCTTTCAGATGGGAAACACTCAGGCATCAACAGGCTCACCCTTGAAATGCATCCTAAGCCATTGGGACCAACTGGACTCATAAACCCTGAAAAAGAAGTGGCTTATTTTTTTCTGCAATACAACCTGGCCCCAATATTCTTCCTCTGATGGGGAAAAATGGCCACCTGAAGGGAGCATAAATTACAATACTATCCTGCAGCTTGACCTTTTCTGTAAGAGAGAAGGAAAATGGAGTGAAATACTTTATGTCCAAGCTTTTTTTTTCACTGAAGGAGAATACACACTATGCAAAGCTTGCAATTTACATCCCACAGGAGGACCTCTCAGCTTACCCCCATTTCCTAGCCTCCCTATAGCTCCTCTTCCTATTAATGATGAGCCTCCTCTAATCTCCTCCACCCAGAAGGAAACAAGCAAAGGACTCTCCAAGGGACCACAGAAAACCCTGGGCTATCAGTTATGTCCCCTTCAAGCTGTAGGGGGAGGGGAATTTGGCCCAACCCGAGTACATATCCCCTTCTCCCTCTCTGATTTAAAGCAGATCAAGGCAGACCTGGCGAAGCTTTCAGATGATCCTGATAGATATACAGATGTCCTACAGGGTCTAGGGCAAACCTTCAATCTCACTTGGAGAGATGTCATGCTATTGTTAGATCAAACCCTGGCCTTTAATGAAAAGAATGCGGCTTTAGCTGCAGCCTGAGAGTTTGGAGATACCTGGTATCTTAGTCAAGTAAATGATACAATGACAGCCGAAGAAAGGGGAGAATTCTCTGTTGTTCAGCAAGCCATCCCCAGTATGGATCCCCACTGGGACCTAGACTCATATCATTGCGACTGGAGTCACAAAAATCTGTTGACATGTGCTCTAGAAAGACTAAGAAGAATTAGGAAAAAGCCCATTAATTATTCAATGATGCCCACCATAACTCAGGGAAAAGAAGAAAATCCTTCTGCCTCCCTCAAGTGGCTATGGGAGGCCTTAAGAATATATACTCCCCTGTCACCTGACTCCCTTGAGGGTCAATTGATCCTAAAAGATAAGTTTATTACCCAATCAGCCACAGATATCAGGAGAAAGCTCCAAAAGCGAGCCCTGGGCCCTGAACAAAATCTGGAGGCGTTATTAAACCTGGCAACATCAGTATTCTATAATAGGGACCAAGAGGAACAGGCTGAAAAGGAAAAGTGAGATCAGAGAAAGGCCCTTAGTCATGGCCCTTAGTCATGGCCCTCAGACAAACAAACCTTGGTGGTTCAGAGAGGACAGAAAATGGAGCAGGCCAATCACCCAGTAGGGCTTGTTATCAGTGTGGTTTACAAGGACACTTTAAAAAAGATTGTCCAATGAGAAACAAGCCACCCCCTCATCCACGTCCCCTATGCTGAGGCAGTCACTGGAAGATGCACTGCCCCAGACTGCAATGGTTCTCTGGGCCAGAAGCCCCCAACCAGATGATCCAACAACAGGACTGAGGGTGCCCAGGGCAAGCACCAGCTCATGTCATCACCCTCACTGAGCCCCAGGTACGTTTGACCATTGAGGGCCAGGAAATTGACTTCCTCCTGGACACTGGTGTGGCCTTCTCAGTGTTAATCTCCTGCGCTGGACGGCTGTCCTCAAGGCCCGTTACCATCTGAGGAATCCTGGGACAGCCTGTAACCAGGTATTTCTCCCACCTCCTCAGTTGTAATTGACAGACTTTGCTTTTTTCACATGCCTTTCTTGTTATGCCTGTAAGTCCCACACCCTTATTAGGGAGGGATATATTAGCCAAAGCTGGAGCTATTATCTATATGAATATGAGGAAAAAGTTACCCATTTGTTGTCCCCTGCTTGAGGAGGGAATCAACCCTGAAGTCTGGGCATTGGTAGGAAAATTCAGAAGGGCAAAAATGCCTGCCTAGTCCAAATCAGGCTAAAAGACCCCCCTCCTTTTCCTTATCAAAGGCAATATCCCTTAAGACCTGAAGCTCATAAAGGGTTACAGGATATTGTCAGACATTTAAAAGTTCAAGCCTTAGTAATAAAATGCAACAGTCCCTGCCACACCCCAAATCTAGGAGTAAAAAAACCAAATGGTTAGGGGAGACTAGTGCAAGATCTTAGACTAATCAATGAGGCAGTAATTCCTCTATATGCAGCTGTACCCAACCCCTATACCCTGCTTTCTCAAATACCAGAGGAAGCAGAATGGTTCACTGTTCTGGACCTCAAGGATGCCTTCTTCTGCATTCCCATGAATTCTGGCTCCCAGTTCCTCTTTGCGTTTGAGGATCCCACAGACCACACGTCCCAACTTACATGGACGGTCTTGCCTCAAGGGTTTAGGGATAGCCCTAATCTGTTTGGTCAGGCACTGGCCCAAGATCTAGGCCACTTCTCAAGTCCAGGCACTCTGGTCCTTCAGTATGTGGATTATTTACTTTTGGCTACCAGTTCAGAAGCCTCATGCCAGCAGGCTACTCTAGATCACTTGAACTTTCTAGCTAATCAAGGGTACGAGGCGTCTAAATTGAAGGCCCAGCTCTGCCTACAACAAGTCAAATATCTAGGCCTAATCTTAGCCAGAGGAACCAACACCCTCAGCAAAGAATGAAGACAGCCTATACTGGCTTGTCCTCACCCTAAGACATTAAAACAGTTGCAGGGGTTCCTTGGGATCACTGGTTTTTGCTGACTATGGATCCCCGGATACAGCAAGATGGCCAGGCCACTCCATACTCTAATCAAGGAGACCCAGAGGGCAAATACTCATCTAGTAGAATGGGAACCAGAGGCAGAAACAGACTTCAAAACCTTAAAGCAGGCCCTAGTACAAGATCCAGACTTAAGCCTTCCCACAGGACAAAACTTATATTTATACATCACAGAGAGAGTGGGAATAGCTCTTGGAGTCCTTACTCAGACTCGTGGGACAACCCCACAACCAGTGGCATACCTAAGTAAGGAAATTGATGTAGTAGCAAAAGGCTGGCCTCACTGTTTACAGGTAGTTGCAGTGGTGGCCATCTTAGTATCAGAGGCCATCAAAATAATACAAGGAAAGAATCTCACTGTCTGGACTACTCATGATGTAAATGGCATACTAGGTGCCAGAGGAAATTTATGGCTATCATACAACAAACTGCTTAGATACCAGGCGCTACTCCTTGAGGGACTGGTGCTTCAAATACACATGTGTGTGGCCCTTAACCCTGCTACTTTTCTCCCAGAGGATGGGGAACCAATCAAGCATGACGGACAACAAATTGTAGCCCAGACTTATGCCACCCAGGAGGATCTCTTAGAAGTCCCCTTAGCTAATCCTGACCTTAACCTATATACCGATGGAAGTTCATTTGTGGAGAATGGGATACGAAGGGCAGGTTATGCCATAGTTAGTGATGTAACAGTACTTGAAAGTAAGCCTCTTCCCCCAGGGACCAGCACCCAGTTAGCAGAACTAGTGGCACTTACCTGAGCCTTAGAACGGAGAAAGGGAAAAAGAATAAATGTGTATACATATAGCAAGTATGCTTATCTAATCCTACATGCCCATGCTGCAATATGGAAAGAAAGGGAGTTCCTAACCTCTGGGGGAACCCCCAATAAATACCACAAGAAAATCATGAAGTTATTGCACAAAGTACAAAAACCCAAGGAGGTGGCAGTCTTACACTGCCAAAGCCATCAAAAAGGTGTAGGAGAAAAGGCAGAAGGAAACCATCGGGCAGATGCTGAGGCCAAAATTGCTGCCAGGAGGAACCTCCCATTAGAAATACCTATGGAAGGACCCTTGGTATGGAACAACCCCCTCCAAGAGACTAAGCCCCAGTATTCCCCAACTGAAACAGAATGGGGACTTTCACGGGGGCATAGTTTTCTCTCCTCAGGGTGGTTAATGACAGAAGAGGGAAAAGTACTCATACCCCAAGCCAGCCAGTGGAAAATACTTAAGACCCTCCACCAAACTTTTCACACGGGTATAGAGAACACTCATCAAATGGCCAAATCCCTTTGTACAGGGCCAAATCTCCTCTGGACCATCCAATAAGTAATCAAAGCCTGCGAGGTGTGCCAAAGGAATAATCCCTTGGTCCATCATAAGGCCCCTCTGGGGGAACAAAGAATAGGGCACTATCCCAGAGAGGACTGGCAGTTAGACTTCAACCATATGACTAAGTCAAGGGGATTTCAATACTTGTTGGTCTGTGCTGACACCTTTACAAATTGCATAGAAGCCTGCCCCTGCAAGACAGAGAAGGCTCAGGAAGTAGTTAAAGACCTAATTCATGAAATAATTCCTAGATTTGAGCTTCCCCAAAGATTATAAAGTGACAATGGTCTGGCTTTTAAAGCCACAGCAACTCAGGGAATTTCCAGGGTGCTAGGGATACAATATCACCTTCACTGCACCTGCAGGCCACAATCCTCAGAGAAGGTCGAGAAGGCAAATGAAACACTCAAGAGGCACTTAAGGAAACTAACACAAGAAACTCATCTCCCATGGCCTACTCTCTTGCCCATGCCCTTGTTAAAAATCCGAAATTCTCCTCACAACATGGGGCTCAGTCAATATGATATGCTATATGGGTGACTTTTTCTCACAAATGACCTCCTACTTGATCAGGAAATGGCCAACTTGGTCAAGGAAATAACTTCCTTGGCAAAATATCAACAAAACCTTAAGAACCTACCCAAAGGATATCACAGAGACAAGGGAACAGAGTTGTTCCAACCAGGAGATCTAGTGTTGGTCAAGTCCCTCCCCTCTACCTCCCCATCTATGGATTTCTTGTGGGAAGGACCATACTCGGTAATCCTCTCTACCCCCACTGCAGTTAAGGTGGCAGGAGTGAAATCTTAGATTCACCACACCGGAGTTAAACTTTGGACACCCCCTGAGGAACCTGCATGACTGTAAGCTCAGGAGACCCAAGATCAGCCAGACCAGCCTCGATACACCTGTGAACCATTGGAGGACTTGTGTCTCCTATTTTGGAAGGAAATATCCCAGACTGAAAAGACTCCTACAGCTGATTCTGAGGAAAAACCCCTTCCGACTTAAAAAAGATAAGTGAAAACATACATAAATCTTTAACACCTCTCTTTGCCCCTTTACTGCAATCCTTTTACTGTTTCATCACATTATTAAGCAGCACACTAACCATACTCTTTGCAGTAGGACTATATACTGTGGCTCCTGCCAGGATAAAAATAAAGCAGACCCTATCAGTGCCCCTCAAAGCTCAAGTCCATCAGTGCAGGGCAATACAATACCCCTACTTATAGGGTTAGGAATAACCACTGCTACAGGAACTGGAATAGCCAGTTTATGTACCTCATTATCCTACTACCACATACTCTCATAGGATTTCTCAGTTTGCAAGAGATAACAAGATCTATCCTTACTCTGCAATCCCAAATAGACTCTTTGGCAGCAGTGACTCTCCAAAACCGCTGAGGCCTAGACCTCCTCACTTTCAAACTCTTAAACCAACCTCTGGAGTTGGGCAACATGGCTTCTCCCCTTTCTAGGTCCTGTGACAGCCATCTTGCTATTACTCGCCTTCGGATCCTGTATTTTTAGCCTCCTTGTCAAATTTGTTTCCTCCAGAATCAAGGCCATCAAGCTACAGATGGTCTTATAAATGGAACCCCAAATGAGCTCAACTCACAACTTCTACCAAGGACCCCTGGACTGACCCACTGACCCTTTGACTGGCCTAGAGAGTTCCCCTCTGGAGGATGCTACAACTGCAAGGCCCCCTCTTTGCCCCTATCCAGCAGGAAGTAGCTAGAGCAGTCATCACCCAATTCCCAACAGCAGTTGGGGTGTCCTGTTTAGAGAGGGGATTGAGAGGTGAAGCCAGCTGGATTTCCTGGGTCAAGTGGGGACTTCAGGAACTTTTCTGTCTTACAAGAGGATTGTAAAATGCATCAATCAGCACTCTGTAGCTAGCATTGTAAAACTCACCAATCAGCACTCTGTAGCTAGCAAGGGGATTGTAAAATGCACCAATCAGCACTCTGTAAAATGCACCAATCAGTGCTCTGTAAAATGCACCAATCAGCACTCTGTAAAATGCACCAATCAGCCGGATCCTAAAAGTAGCCAATCGCAGGGAGGACTGAAAAAAGGGCACTCTGATAGGACAAAAATAGAACATGCGAGGGGACAAATAAGGGAATAAAAGCTGGCCACCCCCAGCCAGCAGCAGCAACACACTCAGGTCCCCTTCCACACTGTGGAAGCTTTGTTCTTTCGCTCTTCACAATAAACTTTACTACCACTCACTCTTTGGGTCCGTGCCATCTTTAAGAGCTGTAACACTCACCGCAAAGGTCCATGGTTCCATTCTTAAAGTCAGTGAGACCACTAACCCACTGGCAGGAACGAACTCCAGACACAAGATGATGGAAGCCAACCCTCTCTGTGCTTGGTCCCTCTGGCTTTCTGTTTCTCCTACATGTTACTCCTCCCTCAATGAGTGCTTTCCTATGACCATGGTTCTCAACACTGGCTATGCAAAAGAACCTTCTAGGGATGTTTTATGAATACCCATGCATGTGCCCTAAGCCTATACATATTGAAAAGTCTTTTCTCAATAGCAAAGACTTGGAACCAACCCAAATGCCCATCAATGATAGAATGGATAAAGAAAATGTGGCACTATGGAATACTATGCAGCCATAAAAAAGGAGGAGTTCGTGTCCTTTGCAGGGACATGGATGAAGCTGGAAACTATCATTCTCAGCAAAGTAATACAGGAACAGAAAACCAAACACCACATGTCCCCACCCAAAGGTGGGAGTTGAACAATGAGAACACATGGACACAGGGAGGGGAACATCACACACCAGAGCCTGTTAGGGGGTGGGGGTCTAGGGGATGGATACCATTAGTGAGAGGTGAAGCCAGCTGGGCTTCTGGGTTGGGTGGGGACTCAGAGAACTTCTCTGTCTAGCTAAAGAATTGTAAACACACCAATCAGTGCTCTGTGTCTAGCTAAAGGTTTGTAAATGCACCAATCAGTGTTCTATGTCTAACTAAATGTTTGTAAATGCACCAATCAGCACTCTGTAAAACAGACCAATCAGCACTCTGTAAAATGGACCAATCGGCAGGACATGGGTGGGGTGAAATAAGGGAATAAAAGCTGGCCTCCTGAGCCAGCAGCTGCAACCAGCTCAGGTCCCCTTCCACACTGTGGAAGCTTTGTTCTTTCGCTCTTCAAAATAAATCTTGCTTCTGCTCAATCTTTGGGTCCACACTACCTTTATGAGCTGCAACACTCACTGCAAAGGTCTGTGGCTTCATTCCTGAAGTCAGTGAGACCACAAACCCAGAGGGAGGAACAAACAACTCCGGACGCACCACTTTTAAGAGCTGTAACACTGCGAGGATCTGCGGCTTCACTCCTTAAGTCAAGCTAGACCATGAACCCATCAGAAGGAAGAAACTCTGGACACATCTGAACATCTGAAGGAACAAACTCCAGACACACCATCTTTAAAAACTGTAACACTCACTGTGAGCGTCTGTGGCTTCATTCTTGAAGTCAGCAAGACCAAGAACCCACCGGAAGGAACCAATTCCAGACACATTTTGGCAACCACAAATGTACAATCACCAAGCGGTGAGTACCATTGGACCCCTTTCACTTGCTATTCTGTCCTATTTTTCCTTAGAATTTCGGGGCTAAATACCGGGCACCTGTTGGCCAGTTAAAAGGGACTAGCATGGCCACTGGACTAAAAACACGAGCGTCAGGCTTTCTGGAAAAGGGCTCTCTAACAACCCCCGAGCCAGATTGCACTTTCCCTATACTTCTGCGCTGAGCCAAGGGTCGACAGAGAGGAAGGCCATTCAGCTCTGGGGTCCCGACAACAAGTTGGATGACCCTGCGGCCATGAGTGGAACTCTCAAAGTCACGACGCCCAAGCGAGACTAGCCCATCTATCCTATCGATCCTGACCCTTGCGTCCTGGGTCCTAATGCTTGTCAGACAAACTTCCTCTTGCCTCTCTTCTCTGAGGATAGTCCCACTTCTAAAAACCACTCTCTGTCTCTGGTGCTTTTCTAGTTTCTCCTACAAGAATGATTTCTCTCCAGGACTCTATTCCCTTCTTTAGGCACCTGGGCTCACTAACCAGAAAGACACAATTTTTGCCCAAAGCCCTGCCAGGGTGGGGCACTATCTTATCTGGAATTTTAGGATCCCTCCTCAGACTCGCAGGCCTAACCTCAGAAATGGTATCTTTCCTATTCATATAAGTGAGGACAAAAGGCTTCACTCTTCCAACTCTGAAGATCCCTCCCCTCCCTCAGGGTACGGCCCTCCACTTAATTTTGGGGGCATAACATCTTTATAGGACATGGTTAAAGTCCCAATACTAACAGCAGAATGCTTATGACTCTAACAGATTTTCGAGAATGTGTCAGTAAGGGCCTCTAAATCCAATTTTTCTTGGTCCTCTTTGTGGTCTAGGAGGACAGGCAAGGGTGCAGGTTTTCGAGAATGCATCAGTAAGGGCGACTAAATCCGACCTTCCTCGGTCCTCCTTGTGGTCTAGGAGGAAAACTAGTGTTTCTGCTGCTGTGTCAGTGAGTGCAACTATTCTGATCAGCAGGGTCCAGGGACCGTTGCGGGTTCTTCGGCAAGAGGTGTTTCTGCTACTGCATCAGTGAGCACAACTATTCTGATCAGCAGGGTCCAGGGACCATTGCAGGTTCTTGGGCAAGAGGTGTTTCTGCTGCTGCATCCGGGAGCACAACTATTCTGAACAGCAGGGTCCAGGGACCGTTGTGGGTCCTTGGGCAGGGGGAGAAACAAACAAACCAAAACCACGGGCGGTTTGTCTTTCAGATGGGAAACACTCAGGCATCAACAGGCTCACCCCTGAAATGTATTCTAAGCCATTGGGACCAATTTGACTCACAAACCCTGAAAAAGAGGTGGCTCATTTTTTTCTGCACTATGGCGTGGCCCCAATATTCTCTCTCTGATGGGGAAAAATGGCCACCTGAGGGAAGTATAAATTACAATACTATCCTGCAGCTTGATCTTTTCTGTAAGAGGGAAAGCAAATGGAGTGAAATAGCTTATGTCCAAGCTTTCTTTTCATCGAGGGAGAATACACAACTATGCAAAGCTTGCAATTTACATCCCACAGGAGGACCTCTCAGCTTACCCCCATATCCCAGCCTCCCTATAGCTCCCCTTCCTATTAATGATAAGCCTCCGCTAATCTCCCCCGCCCATAAGGAAATAAGCAAAGAAATACCCAAGGGACCACAAGAACCCCCCTCCCCCCCCACCACAGGCTATCATTTTTGTCTCCTTCAAGCTGTAGGGGGAGGGGAATTTGGCCCATCCCGAGTACATGTCCCCTTCTCCCTCTCTGATTTAAAGCAGATCAAGGCAGACCTGGCGAAGCTTTCAGATGATCCTGATAGATATACAGATGTCCTACAGGGTCTAGGGCAAACCTTCAATCTCACTTGGAGAGATGTCATGCTATTGTTAGATCAAACCCTGGCCTTTAATGAAAAGAATGCGGCTTTAGCTGCAGCCTGAGAGTTTGGAGATATCTGGTATCTTAGTCAAGTAAATGATACAATGACAGCCAAAGAAAGGGACAAATTCCCTACCAGTCAGAAAGCCGTCCCCAGTATGGATCCCCACTGGGACCTCAACTCAAATCATGGGGACTGGAGTCTTAAACATCTGCTGACTTGTGTTCTAGAAGGACTAAGGAGAATTAGGAAATAGCCCAGGTACATGTCCCCTTCTCCCTCTCTGATTTAAAGCAGATCAAGCAGATCATTGAATTATTCAATGATGTCCACCATAACTCAGGGAAAGGAAGAAGATCCTTCTGCCTCCCTCAAGTGGCTACAGAAGGCCTTAAGAAAATATACTCCCCTGTCGCCTGACTCCCTTGAGGGTCAATTGATCCTAAAAGATAAGTTTATTACCCAATCAGCCACAGATATCAGGAGAAAGCTCCAAAAGCGAGCCCTGGGCCCTGAACAAACTCTGGAGGCGTTATTAAACCTGGCAACCTCAGTGTTCTGTAATAGGGACCAAGAAGAACAGGCCCAAAAGGAAAAGTGAGATCAGAGAAAGGCCGCAGCCTTAGTCATGGCCCTCAGATAAACAAACCTTGGTGGTTCAGAGAGGACAGAAAATGGAGCAGGCCAATCACCCAGTAGGGCTTGTTATCAGTGTGGTTTACAAGGACACTTTAAAACAGACTGTCCAATGAGAAACAAGCCACCCCCTCATCCATGTCCCCTATGCTGAGGCAGTCACTGGAAGATGCACTGCCCCAGACTGCAATGGTTCTCTGGGCCAGAAGCCCCCAACCAGATGATCCAACAACAGGATTGAGTGTGCCCAGGGCAAGCGCCAGCTCATGTCATCAGACTCACTGAGCGCCGGGTACGTTTGACCATTGAGGGCCAGGAAATTGACTTCCTCCTGGACACTGGCGTGGCCTTCTCAGTGTTAATCTCCTGTCCCAGATGACTGTCCTCAAGGTCCGTTACTATCCGAGGAATCCTGGGACAGCCTGTAACCAGGTATTTCTCCTGCCTCCTCAGTTGTAATTGGGAGACTTTGCTCTTTTCACATGCATTTCTTCTTATGCCTGAAAGTCCCACACCCTTATTAGGGAGGGACATATTAGCCAAAGTTGGAGCTATTATCTACATGAATATGGGGAACAAGTTACCCATTTGTAGTCCCCTGCTTGAGGAGGGAATCAACTCTGAAGTCTGGGCATTGGAAGGACAATTCGGAAGGGCAAAAAATGCCCACCCAGTCCAAATCAGGCTAAAAGACCCCATCAGTGTAATTACACCCTACAACTTCAAGCCCCAGCTGATCATAGTAACTTCTGAGTCACCCGAACAGCTCCATTGAGATGACTTGTCCGCTTCTCAGGGCCTCCAAAAATCATCATCTCCTCCCTGCTTAACAAACAGTCCAGGTTTTGTAATGGCAAACATACTACCTGCATGACCATTCACCCCTGGGACACCCTGCAGCAGCGTCCCCACCACTAGTGAATGCTTCCTCATCCCCTCTTTCAATCACTCTCTCGAATGGTTCCTAGTAGATACAGAACAATTTTTTCTCCAACGGGAAAACAGAACACAGGGAGCCACTCGGTTTTCTCCCAACGCCCCTTTCCAGCCACCCACCGGAGCTACCTTGGCAAGTACTCTAGGAATATGGGGAAAAGAAAACAACAAACTCACCCACCTTTTTTAACATACACAACCAGTTCTGTCTACCCAGCTAAGGTATATTCTTCTTATGTGGAACGTCGACCTATATCTGCCTCCCCACTAACTGGACAGGCACCTGCACCTTAGTTTTTCTAAGTCCCAACATTAACATTGCCCAAGGAAATCAGACCCTATCAGTACCCCTCAAAGCTCAAGTCTGTCAGCGCAAAGCCATACAACTAATACCCCTACTTATAGGGTTAGGAATGGCTACTGCTACAGGAACCGGAATAGCCAGTTTATCTACTTAATTATCCTACTACCACACACTCTCAAAGGATTTCTCAGACAGTCTGCAAGAAATAATGAAATCTATCCTTACTCTACAATCCCAAATAGACTCTTTGGCAGCAGTGACTCCAAAACCGCCGAGGCCTAGACCTCCTCACTGCTGAGAAAGGAGGACTCTGCACCTTCTTAGGGGAAAAGTGTTGTTTTTACACTAACCAGTCAGGGATAGTATGAGATGCCACCCGACATTTACAGGAAAAGGCTTCTGAAATCAGACAATGCCTCTCAAACTCTTACACCAACCTGTGGAGTTGGGCAACATGGCTTCTCCCCTTTCTAGGTCCCATGACAGCCATCTTGCTATTACTTGTCTTTGGGCCCTGAATTTTTAACCTCCTTGTCAAATGTGTTTCCTCCAGGATCAAGGCCACCAAGCTACAGACGGTCTTACAAATGGAACCCCAAATGAGCTCAACTAACAACTTCTACCAAGGACCCCTGAACCAACCCATTGGCCTTTTCACTGGCCTAAAGAGTTCCCCTCTGGAGGACACTACAACTGCAGGGCTTCTTCTTCACCCCTATCCAGCAGGAAGTAGCTACAGCAGTCATTGCCCAATTCCCAACAGCAGCTGGGGTGTCCTGTTTAGAGGGGGGATTGACAGGTGAAGCCGGCTGGGCTTCTGGGTCGGGTGGGGACTTGAAGAACTTTTCTGTCTAGCTAAAGGATTGTAAACACACCAATCAGCGCTCTGTGTCTAGCTAAAGTTTGTAAATGCACCAAGCAGCACTCTGTAAAAATGCACCAATCAGTGCTCTGTGTCTAGCTAAAGGTTTGTAAGTGCACCAATCAGTGCTCTGTGAAATGGACCAATCAGCAGGACGTGGGCAGGGTGAAATAAAGGAATAAAAGCTGGCCACCTGAGCCAGCAGCAGCAACCTGCTTGGGTCCCCTTCCACACTGTGGAAGTTTTGTTCTTTTGCTCTTCACAATAAATCTTGCTGCTGCTCACTCTTTGGGTCCACACTACCTTTATGAGCTGTAACACTCACTGCGAAGGTCTGCAGCTTCACTCCTGAAGTCAGCAAGACCACAAACCCACCGGGAGGAACAAACAACTCCAGACGCACCACCTTTAAGAGCTGTAACACTCACTGCAAAGGTCTGTGGCTTCACTCCTGAAATCAAGCTAGACCACGAACCCACCAGAATGAAGAAACTCTGGACACATCTGAAGGAACACAGTCCGGACACACCATCTTTAGGAACTCTAACACTCACCGTGAGGGTCCACAGCTTCATTCTTGAAGTCAGCAAGACCAAGAAACCACCAGAAGGAACCAATTCCGGACACATTAGGAGAAATACCTAATGTAGATGACGGGTTGATGAGTGCAGCAAACCACCATGGCATGTGTATACCTATGTAACAAACCTGCACGTTCTGCACGTGTATCCCAGAACTTAAAGTATAATTTTTTAAAAATACCATGAAAAAGAAAAGTCTTCCCCAGGTGATTCCAGTGTGCAGCTAGGACTAGGACGTTTAACCTACAGTGTTCCTCTTCAAATACTTGACTGATTCCTATTCTTTTTCACAATCCACAGTGATCAGCATTTCCTAAAGTGGACCTTTCCCTGCCTGCCTGGACTATGTCATATCTACCATATCACCTACCCTCAGAGCCACTATGCACCACTCCTTCATGATTGCAATAGCTAGCATTTATCAAGGCCTTAATATGGGTGGGGCACCATTCTAAGAGATTTACTGTTTTCACACACACACACACACACACACACACACACACACAAAGGTGCGTCAAAACTAAGAAGTGAGCAGCTGAAATTTTGCATCTTTGCAGAACAAAATCAATGGCAATTATCTTTTTAAAAAACAAACTTGAGCTCTGGTACTCTGCTTGGGATCTCTGTTTGACACTGTTTCATGCTTTCATCTTAGTTATCCCCAACATACGTTGGGAGATGAAATCTTGTCATTCCAAGTATTAGGTGCAGGAGATCAGGAGTGGGGGGATCTAATTAGCTGCTAGTGAGTAGAAGCCAAGGATGTAACTAAACATCTTACTATGTTGCTAAACACCTTACAGCCCCTGCCACAACAAAGAATTCTTTGCCCAAAATAGCAATCCATGCTGAGGTTGAAAAACTGTCTACATAAATAAAAGTGCATGTGTTCAGAGAAATAGGACTTTACATCAGTAATGTTTATTGAGTAGAGGTAGTAGACCAACCAAATTTTGTGAATAGCTTATTTAGTGAGGTATCATTTAAACCAAGATCCATTAACATTTTTAAAATTTTACTTTATCATACTTAACAAACAAAAAGGAGAGCAAAATGGAAAAAGCTGATATGTCTGTCTGTGGTTTGTATAGCTTGGGATTCATTCATTCACATATTGAAGATTACCTCATTTCCTTTTCAGATTCTGGAAAGAGACACTGTGGTTTTGGGAATATCTGTTTGAATATTAAACCAGTTATTCTCAGAAAGAATGGAACAATGCTCTGAATAAGAAAATCTTGAATTCCCACAGAGAATTAAGCAATTTAATCATACTGTAGATTTTTTTTTTCAGATCAACAGTGTTAAAACAGATTCTTCAAAGGGGCAACTTACGGAGAAAACCAGGGACTGGGACCACAGGGGCAGAGATTCAAGTCCTCATTCAACCACTTCCCAGCTATGTTGTCATGAGCATATTATTTACCCCTTCAGAACTGAGTTTCCAACCGTATAAAATGAGGATCAAAATGCCTACCACTCAGGAATAATTTGAGGATTTAATGAGGTGATATTAATAAATCAACTGGCACACAGTGGAAAGATAGCAAATGACAACTTATGTTGTTATCGTCATCATGATGACCATCATCATCTTCTTTACCCCCCATTTTCTGGTAGGTGTGGGGATATTAGCCACTTCATGTAAGTCAAAGCAAGTAGAAAACGAGTTGATGCATTTGACATTGCCTACACTTAACTGGTTTTCAGTACATTCATTCATTGAATAAATATTTATTGCATGCTAAAGGGTGTGAGGAACTGCTCCATCAGTGTAAAGATCAGCAAATATCCCTACCCTGGTGATACTCACATTTTAGAAGGGGGAGATAGAAAATAAATGATAAACACAATAAATAAAGTAGCATATTAGTGGATGATAAGTACTATGGAAAGAAATAAAAAGTACAGTAGAGTAAATGAGATCGGGAGAAGCAGGTCAAGGTCAGCCCCACTGGGAATAAACATTTGTGTGTGTTGGGGGAGAACAAAGGTTGTTAAAGGTATTCCCAAGAGCAGTACACAATATTGTTCTCACCTTCTTTAGAGTTACTATAGTAGCTCTAAAGCAAAAAACACATTTATTTTATAAAAAGCACCAAATTCTAGGAACCATCCTTGCCCTCCCCCACCGCATGATTCTCTTCATGACCCTGACCCCCTCTTCCAGCACCAGAGCATATGCAGTGGTCTTCCCTCTACCAGTGGTGGTTCCTGACAGTCTACTAAGGATTCTGGAAGTGCTACTGCAAATTTAGAGAAAAAAAAGCGATGAAACAAATTTTTAATATACAACTTACAGAAATCTTGCCATATTCTTTTTTTCAAATGTTCCAATAAGGTGCATATACACTATAAGGGCTGCACATGTCATGTCACTGCTACTAACAATCAATCAACTGAGACCCATTTTTTCTCATGAATATGTTCTTATATTTATGTGCTACTACTTACCTATGTTAAATATAAATTTTTATTATCTCTACTCTGTTGCCTTATATCCCAATTCATAAAAATGGGTATATAGTTCAAATATGGTTTTAGTGTAGTCATAGTGCTGAAATCAGCATCATAAATGATATAACTCAAAATAACTGGAAGCATAAATAGCAAACAGGACTCTAGTACTAATTTTTTTAAGTAAATCTGCATTTGCTGGGATAAATGACTCTGTGGGTAAAATGATTTTTCCCAGGCAGCTAAAAATGGAAAGTATAAATAGGAAGTAAGACAATGAATCCTTTATTCAAACAATGAATTTTATTGGGTTCTTGATGCATTTATCTCTGGCCCTAATTATACCAATTATTATGAAATTCTACCAACTAGTGGCATGAGGTCATCAAAACTTTTCCAACAATCTCCAAACACCGGTGAATTGTTTTCATAACAAGGGCAAATACTGCCTTCTAGGAAGAAAGCATTATTTTAACCCTAAAGACAGAGAAAAGAAAAAACTATAAGAAATATTATTCAAAGTTGCAACCCTCTTAGCAAAAAACAGGTGCAGGTCACTCTATAGCTAAAAAGGCTAATAACAGCCACAAAATTAGTGATGATGTTATACTCAGAGAGAAAGCACAGCAAGCCATTGACACAATTTCTGTAATGTTAGGGGCATCCAGCAGCAATTGTTATTACATGAACAAGCTAGTAGAGATTTTGTGTTACGCCTGTAATCCCAGCACTTCGGGAGGCCGAGGCAGCTGGATCACTTGAGCACAGGAGTTCGAGACCAGCCTGGCCAACATAGCAAAACCCTGTCTCTACTAAAAATTACAAAAATTAGCCAGGTGTGGTGGCACATGCCTGTAATCCCAGCTTCTTGGGAGGCTGAGGCACGAGAATTGCTTGAACCTGGGAGACAGATGTTTCAGTGAGCCATGATGATCATGTTGCTGCACTCCAGCCTGGGCAACAGAGCAAGACTCTGTCTCAGAAAAAGAAAAAAAAAAGAATTTATCATCAGAAGGGTAGCAAAACTTAAAAGATTTGGAAAATTCTCACCTGGTCATGTAAAGAATGAAAAGGTGTATTAGGAAGAGAACACTAGGGTATGGCCAGGTCACCGTTTGATAAGGATATTAGTATGGGTGGACAGAAGTCAAATGTTATTCATCAAGACAAGGGAAAAAGGACCCCAAGGGCATTTCAGAGATCTTCAAAGCTGCCATTTGCATCACAGGCCCAGAGTGTCCATGGGCCTCGAGGACCGTGAAGGCAGAACAGTGGCAAGTGAGGGGCCCAGGGTGCCTCTGGGGCCTTGGGGCTCATGCCCAGGGCTACCTCAAGTCTCTGTTCCCCACATTCTGGTGCAATGCTCCTCAACTGCCCTACCTGTGGCTCAAGTGGGCCCAGAGGTGGCTTAGACCACTGCTCTAGAAAGCACAAGTGGTAAACGTTGGCAGTGTCTGTGTATGTCAACTCTGAAAGTGCACGGAGTTCAAGAGCTATGAAGTCACAGCTACCTCCACCTAGATTTCAAAGGATGCCTCAGAAAGCCTCAAGGCCCAGGCAGAGAACAGCTACCACAGAAATCCCCCAACCAAGGCAATGTCCAGTAGAGTTGTGGGGTCACAGCCACTGCAGAAAGCCCTCATTAAGGCAATGCCTAGTCGAGCCATGGGAGTGGGGCCACAGCAGACAGTCCCCACTAGGTCAATGTCCAGAGAGCCATGGGGTTGGGGCCATCACAGAGAGCCCCCACTGGGGTAATGCATAGTGGGATCAGGGCTGCCCTTGAGACCTGTAGAGCCATCAGCATGCAACATCAGCCTGAGAGAGCTGCAGGCATCTGACTCCAACTCCGAGAGAAGCTGTGTGGGCTGCATCCTGTGAAGTCATGGGGATGGACCTGCCTGAAGCCTTGGGAGCCCAATCCCCACCCCAGTGTGTTCAGAAGACGGGATATGGAGTCAATGATTATTCTCAAGCCTCAAGATTTAATGTTGTTTGTCTTACTGGGTTTTGAACTTATTTGGGACCTATTACTCCTCCCTTCTTTCCTATTTCTTCCTTTGGGAATGGAAATGTCTGTCCTACTTGTATTTTGGAGACACCTAACTTGATTGATTTCGCAGGTTTACAGCTGGAAAGCAATTTGCCTCAGGATGAAACACACCTTTGATTCTCAGCCATGTTTGATATTGATGATACTTAGATGAGGCTCTGGACTTTAGACTTTTGAGTTGGTGCTGGAATGAGTTAAGATGTGTGGGCTATTGGGATGCAATGAAGGTATTTTGTATGTGAGAAGGGCATGAATTTTGGAGAACCAGCAATGAAATGCTGTGATTTGCATGTTTGTGTTCCCTTCAAAATTCATGTTGAAACTGAATCCCCAATGCAACAGTATTAAGAGGTGGAACATTTAGGAGGTGATTAGGCAATGAGGGCTCCACCGTCTTGGATGGGACTAATACTTCATAAAAGGGCTAGAGGGAATGGCCAGCCTTTCCCCCACATGAGGACACAGCATTCAAGGTACCATCTTGGAAGGAGAGCAGCCCTCACCAGACACTGAACTTGCCAGCACCTTGATCTTCAACTTCCCAACCTCCAGAACCGTAAGAAATAAATTTCTATTATTTATAAGCTATCTAGTCATAGGTATTTTGTTATAAAGCAAAGATGCATTAAGGCAGAGGGAACATGCTTATGTTTTTGAAAGACAGGTTGAGTTAAGAGATTCCTTCCTGAAACTGATAGTCAATTGAGATCATTGCTGTATTTTCAAGTGCCTCAGTCAGCTGTATGTTCAGAGTCCTAACTAGCCTGAAATTATCCCTCAGGGCTAAAATATCAGGTTTTTAGAGCTGAGAAGAAGATATTTTTAAATTTTTAATTGAAATATGGTAAAAAAAATTGTTCATTAACCATTAACTTTATTCATATATCAAGAAAAGAAACCTATTTCATATTACTGAGCATATTTTAAAGCCATAAAATACCTTATTCTCACACTAAAAAAATGATTTTCAGAGTTGAATGAAAGTGAAGGATGGATTGGAAAACCATTCAGAGTCCAGCTTTTGAGAGTGATGTGCTCTAGAGTTGGACATTCTGAGATTCTAATGGTTGCATGATATATGACACTTTACTGAACTTCTCTAAGTCTGTTTTCTCTTTTGTAAAGTGAAGAAAATAATAGCACCTTTCACATTGGTTCAGGAAAAGATTACATAAGAGAAAACATCTAGAATTCTTGACACACTGCCTGGCATATAGTAAGCACTCAATAAATGCTAAATATAATAAATAGTTATATATTAGTTTCCCTTCTAAAGCTGGAGATAGTATTATTGACATCAAAACTGTGGTACACTTGTTCCATACCAACCTTCAATTGCTTTTCTTTTTGCCTTCCAGAAAGCCTGAAAGAGAGCACCTTTAAATGTGTACATTTATATATGCATATGCATGTTATGTATGTTTGTGTCTATGTACTTTGCATGTATTTTTGACACAGTGGCCCATGCACAAGGTATAGAATTCAAACAGATTTTATAGCAGCATTTCTGAAAGTATAGTCCAGGGCCCTCACAGGGTTCCCAAGACCCTTTCCATGGGTCCACAAGGTGAAAGTATGTCCATAATAAGGCTAAGATGCTATTTGCCTTTTTCACTCTAATTGTCTCAAAATTGCACAATAGTGTTCTTCAGAGGCACCATGATGTGTGATATCACAACGGACTGGATGCAGCAGCAAACATGAGGATCCAGCTGTCTCTCCTAATCCAGACATTAAAGAGATTTATAAAAATGTCAAACAATGCCACTCTTTTCACTAGTATTTGTTTTACAAAACATAATTATTTTTCATGTAAAATGTTAACAAATAATGGGTTTATTATTGCTATTTTTAATGAATCTGTAAATACATATTTTTCAGATTTCTGTGTCAATTTCTAATACAGTAAACATTGATAGGAATTTTACTCACATAAACAAAAATTCTTGGGCCTCTTTAGTGACTCTTAAGAGTTAAAGGAGCCCAGAAACTAAAAAGTTTCAGAACTACTGACATACAGTGAGAAATAAGTCTCTCTCCCAATCCTAACTATCCCCTAGGCATACAGTTTCTCTCTTTAGAGGCAACCACTGTTACCAGTTCCCTGTATGTTATGTGCATATATAATTATGTGCATTACATATTTTTTCTTTTTACGAATGGTAGTGTATTAGGTACACTAACTGAGAATTTAAAATAGGAAAAACTAAAGCTATCATCATTTAATTACACTTTCCAACTCTTCCTTTTGCTGTACACTCTTGAAAACATGCTGCATGTTTTACCTTCCAGATATCACTGAGGCATTCAGGACACCCACATTTATTTAGATATCTAGCAGTCAATGACAGGGTAAGAGAAATCAATATCATGTCTATGACTACCAGAAAATTTCATTTTTAACTTTTCTTAACATCACTTTATCTTTGAACTAATAAAATAGTTCTAAATATGTTAAATATCTAAATAATTCTCTCCTCTTTCAGAGTCTGAAAACCATTCTCTTTATTTCTTTTTCCTTTTTTTCTTTCTTGTTACTCCTCTGAGATCCCCCACAAATGAGATCTCCCATTTTTGTCATCTATATATGAGAGTTGCAGTGAAGGGCCTCCACATACACATATACAAAAACATACAAGCAAGCCTGACTTTATAATATAGCACGGATCAGAACAGAAATGTATAAAAGTCACCTTAGAGAATGAAGATCTTCTAGTCCAATATAACCCAAAAAGATGTATTCATTTATCCAAAGAAAGAATCTCTTTTTAACTATTTCTGGTGCACTCTTCTTTATTCATAAACTTTCTAACTTACTGATTTTAACTAAGTTGCTGATTCTCTTTTTAGCTGCATCTAATCTGCTCCATAACTCTTCCTTTGAGTTTCTAATGTCAGTGACTACTATATTGTTCTAGAAGTTCTATTTGATTCTTTTTTCAAATCTACCTAGCTTCTTCTATTTGTTGAGCTTTGTTTCTCTTTTTTTATTCCTTCATTAATATATTTATTCATTTTGAACATAACTATTTTAAAGACTTGAATAATCCCAATATCTGAAATTCCTAGCAATTAATTCTGTGGATGTTTTGTTGGGCCTGGGTTAAGGGTAAGTCCTTCCAGAGAGATTTTGCGTATGCTACTACCAGATGTCCAAATATTTACATATATGGTAATTTCTTGGTTTGGATGTTATTAGAGCATGTGGACAATACAAATATGAACCTCAAAACCATGTGAGACTAGTACTATAGTTATACTACAGTACTAGTATAGTATTAGCATTCATTCCTTAAGAAACACTTTTCTTCAGGTCAGTGTCCAGCCAAAAGTAGTCATTTTCTAGTTCTCCCTGTTCACTACTGTTGCTGCCTTTGTAGGTCTCTATGCATTGGCATTTCAATTTCATTTCCACTGAACCTAAGGCCTTAGAAAGCCATTAAACCCCAAGCATTTGAGACCTACAACCTTTCCAAGTTTTCATTTTACCCTCAAGTTTTGGCCCTGGGATTTTTCCTTTCTTTTGTATAAATTCAACTATGCATTGAAAAGAATACTTGTTGTACTCTGTCTGGCATTTCTGGGTGTTTTGCACTGGAAGAGGTAATGGATAATCTAGTCCACCATACTGCATGAAATGGAAGTACTCATTATTCTTTGTTGTTCAAGTGTAGGTCCCCTAAGACAAAACCAAATTTGTCCTCCAAATTATTTCCTCTTCTCAAACCTAAATCACTATATTTCTTCAACTTTGTAAGCAAGTGGAAAGACAGAATACCTTATTAATTGTATTATTAGCAACTTAATTTCAACATTCTGCTTCTTTTTTTTTTTTCTTTTTTTTTTTTGAGATAGAGTTTCGCTCTTGTTGCCCAGGCTGGAATGCAATGGCACAATATCGGCTCACTACAACATCTGCCTCCCACGTTCAAGCGATTCTCCTGCCTCAGCCTCTCGAGTAGCTGGAATTACAGGTGCCTGCCACCACTCCAGGCTAATTTTTGTATTTTTAGTAGAGACAGGGTTTCACCATGTTGGCCAGGCTGGTCTCAAAATCCTGAACTCAGGTGATCCTCCTGCCTCAGCCTCCCAAAGTGCTGGGATTACAGGTGTGAGCCACTGCGCCCAGCCTTCAACATTCTTCTTTTATGAAAAACTATAAATTATGAAACTGGCCATGTTTTCCTCTTGCTTAATAAAGTGTGCATAACTACAGCAGACATGTTAAAAATCTGTATTCAACATTTCTATTCTCAGCCTTCAGACAATCATGCCATCAGCACATTCTTCCTCTGGTCCTTCCCCTATGCAGCACCCCACTTTATGGTCCCCTCCTTCTCCCTCTCCATGTCCCTATGCATCCCCATCTCCAGCTTCAAATTTCTCTTTCTTTCTGTCTCTCTCTCTCTCTCTCTCTCATGCACACTAGATTAGCTCTCTCTGATTATTTCCAAATGAATATATACAAATTCATCATATGTATGGCTTTCCCATTAGCATAGTCTATCTTCCTTAGAAAGCAAAAAAAAAAAAAAAAAAAAAAAAAAAAAAAGTTTTTCCAATATTGGCTCAGCCCTATATTCTCAAGACTAGTTCCCATCCCCCTTAAATTCCTTAAGAGGTCTTAGACTGACACTGAATCCACTGTGACCCTGTTCATACTTGGTCTTGAGCTAGTAAATCATCTTCCTCTCCTCCCACCCCCTGAGAAAGTCAGTTTTATCTCCCTCTTCCTACATTTCTGATTCCTCCTCGATCTAAATCAGTCTAACCCTGCCACTCTGCCAGCTGGACAGTCTAAACTAACCTCTAAATGGAGGTGAGAACAACTAGCAATTACCATGAAATATATGTAGCAATCAGTGGCCTGACACTCAAGAGATCTCTAACTCTGGCTTATAGACCATGGAGCCTTCAAGGACAAAATTGAGAGGTTTTAGGGTGATTTTTATTATAAAAATAAAAAGCAGGACCTTGTAAACAAATACTTTACGTAAGCCAGAATGCTCAATCATCATGACCTTTAAATTCCATAAGTTACCCAAATGGACCTGCAAGCATTTATCTGAAAAATATCCTTAAATCTTTGGGGAATATTGGCTACAAACCCTGAGATAATACTAATTCCTGAAACCCAAAATATCACTTTAGAATATGCCAGTCTGAGCAAAGGCTTATGAGAGTCAGGTGACAAATGGAGTTCTAACTCAATGTCACCTCAGAGTCGAAAGGCCTGCACTCTACTAGTAGCTCTGTGTCTAACTTGTTAACCCTGTGGGCCCCAATTTCCTCCTCTATCAAGTGAGGGTTAATGCCTATCTCATAGAATTAGTTTAAGTATTAAATGTTTTACATAAAAATATTTCCAAATGTTAATAAATGTGAATAAACACAGTACTCTTCTTGCACAACCAAACCAAGTTTTACTAGTCAGTTTGAAGAAAGAAACCCAGAAAACAAAAAGGGAAAAAATGATTGTAGAGCCCTATCCCTACCCCCAAACAACTCTCTGCATTACATCATTATTTTTAGGATTAGAAGTAATAGATGTAAATTATAGTAGGCTGCCTGGCATTCACCAACTGGTAACTATTATTTGTATTACTAACAGCTTAAGTCCCAAGAATCTATTCATTTATTCATTGCTACTCATTGAGCACACATTTACTGAGAAATGATGCCAAAACATTTAGGTAAGTCCTTTGAGGAGAATATATATCTTTCTCAAGAAACTTATTCTTGGCATTTTAGAAGGCAAAATGTCAGACTTTCTTCAGATTAGACAAACAATATTAGAAAAGACCATCTATAATCACTAAATCAGGCAATTTGGATAGAAAACAGATTAGCAAAGGTAGGAGGAAAAGCCTTATATTTAGTATAATATTTAAAAATTACAGCTATACCATCTACAATTTCCAGCTACATATATAAAACACTGATGAATTGCCATTACAACTCCTTAAAGAAGGGGATTTTACTCCAAATAAAATTATTGAAATGGAAGCACAAGGCCGTAAATTTTGGAATATTCTGTCTCCAGACCATTTTATTTTCCTAACCCAGAGCCTAAAGGGAATGAATGTTTGGTGGGTAGGGTGGGGGACAAAAGGATACAAGGGAGACGTGAACACTGAAGGAATCGAGGTGGAGTGGGGGCCTATATGTAGGCTTGGGTAGGAATGGAAGGGCTGAATAGCCAGAGACGTAGATGAGGGCACCAAGCTCCTAAAATGTGTGGAAAAGGATACCCAGATGTGGGAGCAAAATACAGAAAAGGAGCTGCAAGTCAAAAGTTCTGCTGAAAGCTCATTCTGCCTTCTATGTGTATCCCAGAAACCTACTTCACATGTCCTTGCTTCCTAACTCACTGCCAGAAACGTGTGAGTCATTCGTGACATTTTCTCACCCTCACTCAACATACTTTGTTATCTGCCACATCCGTAGTTCAGGAATCCATCATCCACCCAGCTCATCTGCCCTGCCTCACAACTGTCTCCTTGCCTCTGAACTTGCTCCTTTCGCCCTTTGCCACTTCCAGCCTATGACCATCCCAAATCACAAATCTGATCCATGTACCCCCATGGTAAGGTCCAAACCCCTTAACTGGGAACACAAGTTCAACTATTTATTCCTGGGAGCTCACAGCTGGCACCTTGAGATTCTGCTACACTTTGGTGTAAAGTTCTGTAGCACAATAGATGAGATTGCAAGAGCAGCATTTCTTAGAATTCATCCAAAGAAGATAAAAAATGCTATAGATTATACAGTTTTCCCATAGAATGATGATTTTAAGTAAATCATTTACAACTGAGACTATCTGTATATCCTTCCTGTAGTGGTTCACTTTCAAATGCAGTTCTTCCTGTGATCCACTACGGACACAAAATCCAGAATGTGCTATTAGCTGAGACATGTGAGAAACATCTGTACTTTCAATGAACTTATGCAATAAGCATCCCATACTGCATAACTTGCCATGATTATTGTTTCTTCATAGGACATTTGGCAATATTTTCCAATATTATTTCCTGACAAAGAAAAAAAGTTTTATTTAATTTCATGCCATTTTCCTTTGAATTATTATTTTAGCCATTTATATCTGCATTATTTCAGCAAGAAGGATATGCTTTTTATCCATGGTGTATAACTTTTTGTTTTTTGATATTACAAGCAAAAAATTTAAATCCAGGCACAGTGGTGCATGCCTGTAGTCCTATATGCTCAAGAGACTGAGCTGGTAGGATCCCTTAAGACCAGGAGTTCAAGGCCAGCCTGGAAACATAGCAAAACTCCATCTTTAAAAAAAAAAAAAAAAAAAAAACTAACATCACTCCTAAAAATATGTTCATGAGTTTGGTGAAATGTTAAGACTTGATCCTGACTTGAGGACTGCAGGACTTTAATATTGAAATGATTGTTTCATGTTCTAAGCACCTGTTGTCAAGGGTCTTGCTAATCAAGCTGGCCTCATGCTATTCTTACTTTATATTTCCAGATACTTTACTGTGATTGTCAATTTCATGTGTCAACTTGACTAGATACAGGGTGCCCAGATATTCGGCTAAACATTATTTCTGGGTATGCCTGTGAGAGTATTTATAGATGAGATTAGCGTTTGAATCTGTGGACTAAGTAAAGCAGATTGTCTTCCCAAATGAGGATTGGCATTGTCCAATCTATTGAGGGCATGAATAAAACAAAAGGTTGAAGAAAGGAGAATTCACCCCTTCTGCCTGACTGCTTGAGCTAGAACATCCGTTTTCTCCTGCCCTTGGTCTGAGACTTACACTATTATTTCCCCTGCTTCTGAGGTTTTCAGATGCAGATTCTATTACACCACTGGCTTCCCTGGCCTCTGAACTTATCCCTTTCAAGGTCCTTTGCCACCTCCAGTCTTTGTCCCAGGTCTGTAGCTTGCAGATAGCAGATCATGGGACTACTCACCCTCCACAATCATGTGAGCCAATTCCTCCCAATAAATCTTTAATATTTAGATAGATAGAGATAGATAGATAGATAGATAGATAGACAGACAGACAGACAGACAGACAGATAGATAATAGAGGACACATAGATAGATAGATAGATAGATAGATAGATAGATAGATAGATAGATAGATGATAGATAGATAGATAGATAGATAGATAGATAGATAGATAGCTATAAAGACATATTCTGTTTCTCTGGAGAACCTTAACTAATATAGATTTTGTTTGTTTCTGAGATTGGTTCTAAGGGAACAAAATGCTACAGATGAATTTTCTGAATTGGTTCCAGGGTTCTGGAATTGGCTCCCTAATTTGATTAGATTTGAAGATACTAATGACTATTTTCAGTAGTAAAGAGAGCACTGATAATTCATGGCATACTCTGGCAATAGAGATACACAAAATATCTGCATTGGATACTCCTAGTCAACCACTTATAAGCATCAAAAAAATGTGGTGACTGTGTATATAATATATATATATATATATATATATATATATATATATATATATGGAGAGAGAGAGAGAGAAAATTTTGGGAAAACTGGTGACTATAATGAGGTTGGCTGTTTACACCTAATATTGCTGACCAAAATGGTGTAAGAAAAGGATTAATTCAGGAATTTGAACTCTCAGCTTGAGCACTGCATAAATGACTTAAAGGCTTCTATGTGTGCCCTGAAGGAAGCCATTATTTTCTAGAGCCAAAGAGCTGAGATTGCTGAAAATCAAAAACAGAATCTCATGTTGCAACTGGCTGAAATACAACACAAGTTAAACTACTAGCCTCACAGGGTGTCTACTGTTAAAGTGAGGACATAAAGTAGGAAAGTGTAGAATCTTATAAATTGGGATGGGGACAGGTGAGAAAACTTTGATGATGCTGGGAACACTGAGTTCCTAAATTCTAGTAGTTTTTTTTGCCAGTAGAAGAGGCTCCCCTACTCCACAGCAGAACAGCCTTCCCACCCACAGTACAAGTGGCCTCCCAACAACCAGTGGTAGCACTTACCCACCCCCAGTGGGAGTGGCCTCTCCACCCCAATCAAAGGGATTAACCCTGAATTTCCTAGGAAGTTGTCATGGCACCACCCCAGGCAACTGTCTTTCAAGGCTGCTGATTCACCTCAGGACCCACCCTCACCACCTCTCTTTGCTTCTATACCTATAACTACATTTGTCCCAGTATGCCCTGAAAGGTGAGGTACAAAGTGTGACCCAAGAGGAGGTGTGCTACACTCCAAAACAACTACTTGAGTTTTCTCATTTATACAGTCACAAATCCAGGGAACAAAAATGGAAATGCATATTAAAGGTTTGGAGCCAAGCATGGTGGCTCACACCTGTAATCCCAGCACTCTGGGAGGCCGATGTAGAAGGATCACTTGAGCCCAGGAATGCGAGACCAGGCTGGGCAACAAAGTGAGACCCCATCTCTATGAAAAATTTTAAAAATTAGCCAGCATGATGATGCACACCTGTGGTCCCAGCTACTCAGGAGGCTGAGGCAGGAGGATTAACTGAGCCTAGGAGGTCAAGGCTGCAGTAGGCTATGTTCATACCACTGCACTCCAGCCTGGGCAACAGAGTGAGACCCTGCCTCAATACAAAAAAATACGGTTTGGGCAAATGGTGGAAAGAACATAAAGTTTAATGCAATCAAGTTTATTGATATGGGCTCACTAAGCAGAAATTCTGCATTAAATGTTGAGCTCAAGGAATTAGAAAGGGCTCTACATTTTTGTTGACTGATCAGCTGAAACATGGACCAAAAGTTGGCCCACAGTGAGGGAATTTATATATCACACCTGCATTGGTTTAACATAGAGGAAGAGATTCAAGGGTTTAGGGAAATTGGAATCTTAGAGCGGATTTGTCATTTAAGGCCTGCTCATTCACACTGGGAGGGCCCAGAAGATAGACCTTTCACTAATACTGTGAGAAATAAATTTGTGAGAGGAGCCCTAGCATCCCTGAAAAGCCTTGTGATTGCTCTTCTCTGTAGGCCACACCTCACAGTGGAAGCTGCAGCCACTGAGTTAAGAATTAAATGCAGTGAGAGTAATTGGATCCTGAGTGGCAGGGGCCAAGCAGCAACACTTAACTGCCAAAGACAAGGTGGGCATGGTTACCATCATGGACAGCAGAGTCACAGCAGCAAGCTGAGTAGTCTGACATATAAAACCTATGGCATTGGCTGGCTGATCACGGTGTTCCTAGAAGTAAAATAGGTAGTAAACCTAGTAAATTCTTACTTGATCTGGATAAGCAGAAAAGTTCTAGGTTAAGTGAACAAAGTCTAACCTGTATCATAAAAACAGAGAGCCAAACCCCTTCAATCAATTTCCAAACGAGATCGTTTTTGAATGAAGGGGAGGTCAGGTCCCCTTGAAGAAGGATCCTATTCACTACTTAAAAGTTATATTAATACACCTCCCCGCCTTATCCAAAGGGACCTTTGACCTTTTACCAAAGCAACTGTACATTGGGGAAAAGGAAATAATTGGACCTTTTCAGGACTACTGGACCCTGGCTCTGAACTGACACTAATTCCAGGTGACCCAAAATGTCACTGTGGCCCTCCAATCAGGGTAGTGGATTATGAAAGTCAGGTGATCAGTGGAATTTAGCTCAGTTCATCTCATAGTGGGCCCTGAACTATTTCAGTGGGTCCCTGAACCCATTCTGTGGTTATTTCCCCAGTTTTGGAATGCATAATTGAAACAGATATAGTCAGTAGCTGGCAGAACCTACAAACTGGTTCACTGACTTGTGAAGTGAGAGCTATCCTGGTGGGAAAGATCAAATGGAAGCCATTTGGAAAAGGCTTCCACTTTTCCCCAGGTTTACTACCTAGGAAAATAGTAAACCAAAAGCAACACAACCTTCCCAGAGGAATTGCAGAGATTTGCACCACCACTAAGATACTTCAAGGATGCAGGGGTAGTGGTACCCACCGAATCCCCATTCAACTCACCTATTTGGTCTGTGAAAAGACAGATGGGTCTTGGGGAATGACATAGATTATCATAAGCTTAACTAGGTGGTGACTCCAATTATAGTTACTATAACAGATATGTTTCATTGCTAGAACAAATTGACACATCTCCTGGTACCTGGTTTGCAGATATTGATCTGCCAAATGCCTTATTCTCCATATCTGTCCATAAGGCCAACAAAACCAGTTTGCTTTATTAAGGCAAGGTCATCAGTACAACTTCACTGTCCAACCTCAGGGGTCTGGTCTCTCCTCAGCCCTTTGTCATACATAACTTAGTTCTCAGAGATCATGGCACCTTCCCTTCCACAAGATATCTCACTGATCCATTACACTGATGACATTCTCTTTCACAAGATATCATACTGATCCATTACATTGAGGACCTAGTGAGCAAAAAGTAGATTCTACTCTAGGCTTATTGGTAAAACATTTGTGTGTCAGAGGATGGAAAATAAATTCAACAAAAATTCAAGGGCCTTCTACCTCAGTGATATTTCTTTTCTTTTTTTTTTTTTTTTTTTTTTGTTCTCTTTTTGAGACAGAGTCTCGCTCTGTCACCCAGGCTAGAGTACAGTGGCGTGATCTCGGCTTACTGCAAGCTCTGCCTCCCAGGTTCACACCATTCTCCTGCCTCAGCCTCCCAAGTAGCTGGGACTGCAGGCACCCACCACCACACCCAGCTAAATTTTTTTGTATTTTTAGTAGAGACGAGGTTTCACGGTGTTAGCCAGGATGGTCTTGATCTCCTGACCTCGTGATCCACCCGCCTCAGCCTCCCAAAGTGCTGGGATTACAGGCATGAGCCACCGTGCCCAGCCCTACGTCAGTGATATTTCTAGGGGTACAGTGGTATGGGAAACATCCAAACATCCCTTGCAAAGTGAAAGATAAATTCTTGCATCTGGCCCCTCATACAACCAAAAAAGAGGCACGATGCCTACTGGGCCTCTTTGGATTCTGGAGGCAACATATTCTCATTTTGGTGTGTTGCTCCAGACCAATTAACACTTGAGATTTTGAAGTAAAGCCCGCAGTCCTGCACAGATAACTTCTGTCTTGTTGAGAAAGCTCTCGGCCTCCTACTGAGCCTTAGTCAAGGCTGAACACTTAACTGTGGGTGACCAAATTACCATGTAGCCTGAGCTGCACATCATGAAGTGTTATCTGACCCACCAAGCCATAAAGTTGGGTGTACACAGCAGCACTCCATCATCAGACGGGGTGATGTGTATGGGACTGGGTCTGAACAGGCCCTGAGGCACAAGTAAGTAATATGAAGAAATGGCCAAATATCCATGGTCCTCACCCCTGCTCTACTGCCCTCTGCCAACCTGCACCTATACCCTCATGCAAAGTTCTCTAAGAACAGCTGACAGATAAGAAGACCCAGAACTGTTTACAGATGATTCTGCATAATACACAGGCACCAACCAAAAGTGAACAGCTGCAGCACTACATCCCCTTTCTGGAACATCTGTGAAGGATACTGGTGAAGGGAAACAGTGGGCAGAACTTCAAGCAATGCAACTCGCTGTCCACTTTGCTTGGGAAGAGGAATGGCCAGACATAGAAGTATACAGTAATTCATGATCTATGGCCACTGGTTTAGCTGGAAGGTCACTGACTTGGAAAAAACATGTTAGAAAATTGATGACAAAGAAATTTAAAGAAGTGGTCTGTGAACAGACCTCTCTGTATGGACAAAAAAAAAAAAAGTGAACATATTTGTGTCCCATGTGAATGTTCACCAAAGGGTGATCACAGCAGAGGGGTATTTTAATAATCAAATGGACAGGGTGACCTATTCTGTTGATACCAGTCAGCCTCTTTCCCCAACCACCCCTGTCATCACCCAATGGGCTCATAAACAAGGTGGCCATGGTGGCAGGCATAGAGGTTATGCAAAGACTCAGCAACATAGACTTCCATCAACATTGACCTGGCTACAGCTACCACTGAGTGTCCAATATGCCAGCAGCAGAGACTCACATTGAGTTCCCATAATGGCACCATTCCCCAAGGTGATCAGATAGGTACCTGGTAGCAGACTGATTACACTGGATGGCTTCCATCATGGAAGGGGCAGTGTTTTGTTCTTACTGGAATAGACACTCTGGATGCGGATTTGTGTTCCCTGAACACAACGCTTTTGCGAGAACTACCATCCATAAGCTTACAGAATGACTTATCCACTGTCATGGCATTTCACACAGCATTTTTTCTGATCAAAGAACTCACTTCACAGCAAATAAAGTGTAGCATGGAATTCACTTGTCTTACCGTGTTTTCCACCATCCTGAAGCAGCTGATTTGACAGAATATTGGAATGGTCTTTTGAAGACTCAATTATAGCACTAGTTAGGTGGCAATATCTGCAGAACTGGGCAAGACTCCCCCAGAAAACTATATATGCTCTGAATCAGCAAGGAATAGATAGTGCTGTTTCTCCCATAGCCAGGATTCTCAGGTCCAGGAATCAAAGGATAGGAACAGGAGTGTCACCTCTTACTGTTACTCCAGTTACACCAGTAAAATGTTTCCTTCCTGTTCCTTCAACTTTATGTTCTGCCTGCCTAGAGGTCTTAATTTCAAAAGGAGAAATGCTTCAACCAGGAGACAATGAACAACAATGGTTCCATTGAATTGGAAATTAAAACTGCCACCTGGCCACTTTGGGCTCTTCATGCCTCTGAATCAACAGACAAAAAAAAGGAGTTCCTTTGCTGACTGGGGTGATTGATCTTTACTCCCAAGGGAAAATGAACTACTACTCACAATGGAGTAAGGAAGAGTATATCTCTCATACAGGAGATCCCTGGGGGCATCTCTTACTATTACTCTGCCCTGTGATTAGGTCAGTGGAAAACTACAGCACAATCCAGACAGAACTACTAATGGCCCAGATGCCTCACTAATGAAGTTGGGGTCACTTCACCAGGAAAAGAATCACAACCAACTGAGAAACTTGCTGAAGGCAAAGGCAATACGAATAAGTAGTGATAGAAAGTAGTTATAAATGCCAGCAATGACCACATGACTACTTACAGAAACAAGGACTCTAATTGTCATGATTATTTCCTCCTTATTTTGTTATGAATACAATTGTGTGTGTGCATATATATATATACATATATATTTGCTTTCTTTCCTCTCTTACTCCCTTATTATATAACATAAAATGTATTGTTTAATCGTAGTATTTAAGTTTTGTTAATTTTACATCGTAGTGTTTAAGTTATAAGATTTCAAGAAGGGTAAACCTCACTCAAGTGCTTTAACTCCTCTTCTGGGAAAAAGGTTATACATTTTGTTGTCTACAGGATAGTAATATCATGTGGAATTATGAACTTGTTATCATCTTTATTTGGAGGTTAAGTATGGTTTCAGGAGGCACGTATGAGTATCAAGTTGGCAAGGGGTGGACTTGTGATGGTTAATTTTATGTGTCAACTTGGCTGGATCACAGAAGCTCAGATATTTGGCCAAAGATTATTTGTGAGTGTGTCTGTCAAGGTGTTTACAGATGAAATGGGTGTTTGGATCTACAGACTGTCCTCCCCAATGAGGACTGATATCACCCAGTCTGTTGAGGACATGAAAAAACCTAAAGGTGGAAAAAGGAAGAACTCACTCCTTCTGCCTGGCCACTTGAGTTGAAACATCTGTTTTCTCCTGCCCTTGGTCTGAGACTTACACCATCATCTCCCCAACTTCTTAGGCCTCAAGACTCAGACTGAACTACACCACTGGCTTTCCTGTATCTCAAGCTAGCAGACAGCAGATCATGAAGCTTCTCAGCCTCCACAGTCACATAAGTCAATTCCACACACATACACAACACACACACACACACCCATATACATACATATACACACACATATACATATATGTCTGGAGAACTCAGGTTAATACAACTATATATTTGGGAAAGGCTTGTCATTAATAACAAGTCCATTTGTTGAAAAATGCTGCTAATGTCCTATCTTATATGGGCAATGGTTTGTCAGACATTAGATCATCCTTATTTTTGCCTTGTTATGTGGCCAGTGTAAAGTTTGTGCCAGCTAGAGCTCTCTGTCAGTTTCGTATTTTCCATTTGCACTTGTGTTGTTAATATGTCTTCAAAATTCATGGCTTCTTTACAATGATATTTTTAACCATTGGCCTCAAATCCTAAGCTTCTTTTTTTATGCTCAGAAACTTTCTATTGGGAGCAGGTTGTGGGCAAATAAATGTCTATTCTTTTACCCTAGGTCAAAGATGCATTCCTAAGTTATTCTTCCCACACCTCAGCCAAAGGTACAACACATCTGCAATCCTGAGAGGCAGAAATAATAATACCTGTACTTACCATAGGCTGATTTGCCATAGGACCTTGGAGAAGCCACTTCACCTACTATTAATTGGCCTTCTGTGCCTTGCAAGAGGATTTTTCAAATCTCAGCCTTCACAAACCACAGTAGAGCTTCTGGGACTCCATACTGTTGCTGTCACAGCCCAGCTTGTGTATACATCCTGCCACAACCAAAACCCAACCAGAGGTAATAATTTCAGATTTTGAAGTTCCCTTTATTTCCACACCTGACCTAATTTTGTAATATGCCCTGGGCCATGCTCTGCACTGACATGTATCCCACCTTCATCAGTCAGATGGAACGTATTAAGCCAACTGGAAAAGGGGTACAAATCTCACCTTTCCCCAGAGCACTATTTCTCATCAATCCTGCTTCAAGGTCATCACCATGTTCAGCAAATGAAGCTCCTTGATGACCCCATCATATAGCTTAGGCACATGGCAGAGAAGGGTGAGTTTGGGCCAGAAATCTGTAAGGACAGAAAAGTAGCCAGTGGCTTTCAAACAATCCCCTGGAGGGCTTGTAGGCTCCTGAGCCTCATACCCAGAGTTTCTGATTCAGGGAGTCTGAGGTGAGGCCTGAGAATTTGCATTTTTTTTTTTTCTTTTTGAGACAGGGTCTCACTCTGCATCCAGGCTGGAGTGCAGTGGCACAATCACGGCTCACCACAGCCTCAACCTCCCAGGCTCAAGTGATCCTCCAACCTCAGCTGCCTGAGTAGCTGGGACCACAGGTGCTCACCACGATACCCAGCTAATTTTTTATTTTTTGTAGAGATGGTATCTCCCTATGTTGCCCAGGCTAATCTCAAACTCCTGTGCTCAAGTGACCCTCCAGCCTCAGCCTCCCAAAGTGCCAGGATTACAGGCATGAGCCACCACACCTGGCCCAAGAATTTGCATTGCTAACAAGTTTTCAGGTGATAACTGAGGCTGCTGGTCCATGGACCACACTTTGAGTAACACTCCAGACTAGGCCAAAGGATACCTGAGTGCTTGTCTGGCATCATCTGGCCATTTTTTCACCCTAGAAATGCCATCTGTTATCTAGCAGCCTGATGCTACTGCTAGCCAGCAGAGACCATCAAGGCCCAAACACATAGATGCATTTTTATGCTCCAGGAGCTTTGCAACATAAAGGAGTTCGCCAATGTAAGTGTCTGGGTCTTTTCTAGAAGCTCCCTAATTTGTAGGATAATTTACCTCCCCATGCTTTATGTAAGTGCAGGGAACAGAGGACAATCAATTCCACACTGACATTTTCTGACAGATCTACATACGTAACAATTGAGATTTGAAATGGTATCATCAAACAAAACCCTGAGTAGTCTTTCAACTGAGTAGTCTTTCAAGCGTTTTCAGCTGGGCGCGGTGGCTCACGCCTGTAATCCCAGCACTTTGGGAGGCCAAGGCAGGTGGATCACGAGGTCAGGAGTTCAAGACAAGCCTGGCCAAGATGGTGAAACCCCATCTCTACTAAAAATACAAAAATTAGCTGGGTGTGGTGGCGGGTGCCTGTAATCCCAGCTACTTGGGAGGCTGAGGCAAGAGAATCACTTGAACCCGGGAGGCAGAGGTTGCAATGAGCTGAGATCACACCACTGCACTCCAGCCTGGGCGACAGAGCAAGACTGTGTCTCAAAAAAAAAAAAAAGAGAGTTTTCATTTTTTCATTTTGTGTTTGTTTGTTTAGTGCCTGAAGGGGGAAATATAAAAGAGTAAGAAATGATACCGGCACAAAGAGACCTGAAAATCTATTGGAGGAAATAAGATATATAAGGATAGGCTCATTGCAGAGCGTGGAATGCAGTCCAGGAACATAGAGCACTAGACATGGAAGCAAGAGACCGTGACCCCATGTCTATTGACGCTCCATTGCTGACTTATTGTGTGATAATGGGGCAAGTCCCTTTGCCTTGCATGCAGTGACAAACTCTTGGAATCTGTATAACTATGCAGACCACAGATATGATATCTCCTGGGACCATGATTCTCTAGGGACAACTCTGTCCCTGAGAGCTAAGCCCCAGGGATGATGGCTAATCCTGGGACACATAAAACTAAGTTATCAGGACCCCCATGGAATTACCCACAGGGAGTAACTCAGAGCAGCAGCCTACTGCAGAGAGGGAAGTAGCACCTACAGCCAGCTGTGCTAAGGCAAATAACTATTTTTTTAGAACTTACCATGTACCAGGTACTATTCTTAGTTAAATGTATCATTTTGTTAATCCACACAACATCCCTATAAGGAACTGTAATTATTCATCTGCCTGGGATGCTTTTCCCAGTCACCCACATGGCTCATGCCCTCACCTACTTCAAGTCTTTGCTCAAATGTCACCTCTACAATAAGGCCATCCCTGACTGCCATTTTTTTTTTTTTTTTAAGACGGAGACTTGCTCTGTCGCCAGGCTGGAGTGCAGTGGCACGATCTCAGCTCACTTCAACCTCTACCTCCCAGGTTCAAGCAATTCTTCTGCCTCAGCCTCCCAAGTAGCTAGGATTACAGGCATGCACCACCATGCCCTGATAATTTTTGTATTTTTAGTAGAAATGGGGTTTCACCATGTTGGCCAAGCTGGTCTCAAACTCCTGACCTCAAGTGGTCCACCTGCCTGGGCCTTCCTAAGTGCTGGGATTACAAGTGTGAGCCACCCTGCCCAGCCCTGACTGCCCTCTTTTAAACTATAACATCTTCCTTCTTTCCCCAAAACCCCTATCCATTTTACTCTGCTCTATTTTCTTGCCTCACATTTATCACATTCTAACATGCTATATATAATTTACTTATGTTCATTGTCTATCTTCCCCTATTAAATGTAAGTTTCCTGTGGGCAGAGATTTCTGTCTGTTTTGCTCACTGATGCATCCCAAGTACCTAAACAGCCAACGGCAAGTCCCAAGGTAAAGGGCTAGACTGCAAATATGTTCGACTTTGTGGGCCATATGGTTTCCATTGCAACTACTCAACTCTGCCTTCATAAGACAAAAGCAGCCACACTAACACACAAAATGGGTGTAGCTGGGGTCCAGTAAAATTTTATTTACAGGCACTGCAACTCAAATGTAATATAATCTTCACACATCACAATATATTTGGCTTTTGTTTTTCAACCACTTAAAAGTATAAAAACTATTCTTAGTTCACAGGCCACATAAACAGGCAGCAGGCTGGAATTGGCCCACAGGTCACAGTTTACCAATCCCTGAGCCAGAATCTATTAAGGGCTCACATGGAAACCACTGTGCCAAGATATTTGAGGGCACTTGAAAGTGGGATGTTACTTTAAGTATATGAAACATTTCTTATACAATCAAGTATACACACATTATTAATGTGTTTGCCAGGTACCTTTCCATAGTACCAAGGTAAATTTAGGTTTATTCACTGTCTGAATCATGTACAACTCATTTAAATTAAATAAGATTGGCACAATGAAGTTGTCAAGTTTTCAAAGATTACATAAAAAGAGTAGATGGTAAACAATTCTGGCCCTAAACATCTCATGCATCTCACATTGTACCTCATTGATAAATCCAAATTTCCAGCATGAGCATTGGATTTGATTTTATTATTGTTTAAAAAGCAATTGACAGAACTAGTAACTAAACCAGTTATGATGCTGTAGGCATTTTCAACTGTGACTCATACTGCGAAATATGGAGTTAGCTCATCTCAACAGGACAGAAAAGGCTGCATGGCACGTGGGTGTGTGTTATTGGATCTAGAGTTTGATCTCGACCCACTTCTCACCTGTGGGCCCTGTGCATTTGAGTTATCTGGTAAGGAGGGTGGGCCCAGATCAGTTTTCACACTGGCAAGTTAGTTCAAGGCTATATTCTTGTAGACACACCCTGCTTTCCCAAAACTGAGGTAGACATTGTGCAATACCATACAAACACACTCAAAGGAAGCAGGGCTTTGGCATATAGTAGGCACTCAATAAATATTTGAATCAACAAATAAATATATGGATAGCTCTGAACTACTAGGGGGAAAAAAAGCACTCATTTGAGTAAACAGGTCATCATTAATTATTATTTACTGTACTCTATTCTTGTCTGCCATAGGAAAAACAAGAGCTATATGCCCCAGTGCTTGACCACTTATTTATTTACTTATTTCACAAAAATTATTAAATACCTACTATGTTCCAGGAACTCTACAGGGAATTTGGCCTACATAGCTAACGAAGACATTACAGGGTTGCATTATAACTTCCATGAGTCCTAGGCACTTTTGCCTTCATGGACCCCTTCTTCCATTAAAAAAATTAAAATTTTTATTTTACATTGTCTTAAAGATAAATATAATTCAGGCCGGATTCATTGCTATGTTCTTAATTATTATACTCACTATTTCTTCAGAATTTAAAAGCAATTAATATGAAAACATTGTCGTGGACCCTAAAATTACCCTGGGCCCTGGGCTCTGTGTCTGTTGTGCCCAGTGGGGCGATTGCCCTGCGACAGTCTCTGTCTTCCTGCCTCCTGTCCTGAATGAATCGGTCCAAATGTTACTCAAAGGAGCTGATCAAAGTAGCTGGGACCTGGAGAGAATTCCCAGGTGTGGGAATCCTGAGAGGTAATTACGGAGAGCTTCCGAATGGAGAGCCTGTGGCCGTGGGGTGAAAGTGAAAGTGAACAGTGACAGCGGCCTGTTGGGTGGTACTGGGTTCTGAGCAGGGCGAGGAGGGGAATCTAGTTGGGGGGATGGGGAGACAGTAGCAATGGCAAGGCAGGATATTACAGCAGCAGCAGGATGAGAAGGGTGACTGCCTCACTCGGTGCAGACTGCTGGCACCTGAGTGGAGTAAGGCTGATGGCTGTGCAGGGAGCAAAGGCAGTGGCCACTGGGGAGGCAGGTGGTGCGGGAGGGGAGAAAAGCAGACCAAACAGCCTGGCTGGGGTGTTGGGGCCCAAGAAGGATGAGGAGGATATTAGCACAGTCCGTGTGGAGTGTCAGAACCTGAGGGTAGATCAAGGTAACCAGCTTCTCACAGTCAGAAAAAGAAGTTACAAATCTGGCCAGGCGCGGTGGCTCACACCTATAATCCCAGCACTTTGGGAGGCCAAGGTGGGCAAATCACTTGAGACCACCCTAGGCGATATGACGAAACCCCGTCTCCATAAAAAGTATAAAAATTTGTCGGGTGTGGTCGCACACACCTGTAATCCCAGCTACTCAGGAGGCTGAGGTAGAATAATCACTTGAGCCCAGGAAGTGGAGGTTGCAATGAGCTGAGATCATGCCACTGCACTCCAGCCTGGGTGACAGAGCAAGACTCTGCCTCAAAAAAAAAAAAAAAAAAAAAAAAGTTACAAATCTGGAAAGTGAAAACTAGAATGAATCTGTGCTGCTGTAGATTAAAATCATCACTATCAGCATGAATTCATGCTTTCCTGTAATATACAGATATAAAACTAGATGTAAATGGGTGTGTGTGTGTGTGTGTGTGTGTGTCCTAGCTCTATACATTGAGAGCCTGGGAGCAGAGACATCCCAATAGCAATGAACACAGCTATCATCCATATTTTGATTTCTGCTATGGTTTGACAGTTTTTATCCCCTACAAAATTCATATATTTAAATCCTAATCCCCAGAGTGATGGTATTAGGAGGTGGGGACTTTGGGAGGTGATAAGGTCATCAGGGCAGAGGTCCAGGTATGGGACTCATGCCCTTATAGAAGAGGCTCAGAGAACTGCCTTGCCCCTTACACAGCCAGAAAGTTGGCAATCTGCATCTCACAGGCAAACCCTCATCAGACCCCAACCATGCTGGCACCCTCATCTTGAACTTACCAGCCTCCAGATCTGTGGAAAATACACTTCTGTTGTTTATAAGCTAACCAGTCTATGATATTTGTTATAGCAACCCAAACAGACTAAGACAACTTCTAAATACCATTTTCCATGAAAAAGAGCCAGGCCCCTCAGGAGAAATGGCAGGAAAATTACAAGATGAGTTTGGAATATCTTGTTGTTCCAGAAGGCAAGGACATGTACAAAGAATGATAGGAACAGGCAAGAAAATATACAAAGAATGATAGGAACACTGGCCAAATTGGGAACAATTTGATGAAAACAGATTAGAACCCAATAGATAAAATAAGCTTCCATGGGTCCATACTAATATAAATAATTGATTGATTAATAAGGAAGAAAGTAAGTTTTTTCTTATAGTAGAATGCCAACTAATTAAATGCAGAATGGATAATTAAATTTAAAAAATCACTGCTTGGCAACCATCATAATAGTATGGTTTCAGACAAGAAATATCAATGGATGCTAAAACTAATGGATGAACATTTCATGCAGAATGGAGTTGTTTTTTTTTTCTTTTGAGACAGGGTCTCACTCCTGTCACTCAGGCTGGAGTGCAGTGGCTCGATCACTGCAGCCTCAACTTCCCAGGCCCAGGTGATTCTCCCACCTTAGCCTACCGAGTAGCTGGGACTACAGGCATGCGCCACCATGCCTGGCTAAATTTTGTATTTTTAGTAGAGACGGGGGGTTTCACCATGTTTCCCAGGCTGGTCTCAAACTTCTGGCCTAAAGTGATCCACCCTCCTTGGCCTCACAAAGAGTTGGGATTACACGGATGAGCCACTGCACCTGGCCAGAATGGGATATTTAAATAGTCTCAAAGTACCTTCCGTAAAATATTTACAAATTTTTTTAAAAAATAATAATTTTACAGTGAAGAGGACTGGCAGACACCTCTTAATTAAGTGATCAAAGTGAACATCACCATTAATAAGACAAACTGAAATTGTGCACCACCTGTAGGATGCAATGAGAAGACCATACACAGCATCACTTCTCTGCTATTCCTACCAAAAATGAAAAGCATTACCTAAATCTAATTCTGAGGAAATATGAGACAAACTCAAATGAAGGAGCATTCCACAGAATAACTGTAATCTACTAAAATGTGAAGGTCATGGAATCAAGGAAAGACTGAGGAACTCCCCTACTCTGAGAGGGTCAAAGAGGCACAACAACCAAATGCAGTGCTTGATCCTGAACTTCTGCGATAATCACATTTATTGGGACAGCTGGGGAAACTGGAATGGTGTCTGCAGATTCAATGTTAGTAATGTATTAATGTTATTAATACTTTTATAACTTAGATAGTTGTATTATTTTTATATAGAAGAATGTCCTTGGGTCCAGGAATGATACATTCAAATATTAAAGTGATACGGCATCATGCAATAATTTCCTCTCCAACAGTTCAGAAAAAAAAGTCATTATACTATTCTTGCCAGTTTTCTTTAGGATTGAAATTATTTCAAAATAAGAAGAAAAAATTAAATTGAAAGTCATCAAACTTTTTAAGGTAAAGCCCAAGACTACAGAATTTATAACTGAACTATTGTGTATTCCCTGAAGGACATTTGCTTTTAGTGATTTTTTCTTAAAAATCAAGTATTCTTTTCTGGCATAAAAATATGACTCCCACATGCAAATCTAATCTACAGTGTGAGAAGTGCAGGCAGTGGTTACGCTGGCAGGAGGATGAAGGGGAAGTGGTGGCTGGCAGTAAGCCCTGAGGAGCTCCCGCAGCTCTCCATGCTTCCTGATCTAGGCTCTGAGTGCACGGGTGTAAGTCCTTTATGTACATGTACACCCTCCTGCTGCATTCAAGGTTTGTACTCTTTTCTGTATACATATTATACTTCAATAAAACATAAACTTAAATTTTTTAAAAAACCAGGTGCAGTGGCTCACACCTACAATCCCAGCAATTTGGAAGGCCAGGGTGGATGGATCACTTGAGCCCAGGAGTTTGAGACCAGCCTGGGCAACATAGTGAGACCTCATCTCTACAAAAAATCAAAAAATGAGGCGGGAGGATCACCTGAGCCTTGGAGGTTGAGGCTACAGTGAGCCGTGATTGCACCACTGCACTCCAGCCTGGGTGACAGAGTGTGACACTGCCTCAATTTAAAAATAAAAAATAAAAAAAGACACAGGCCTTGATCTTAAGAAGTCCACAATCCAGCATAAACAGAAGATGATGACAGCTGTCACAGTTGCATGTCTGACACCCACAAACCAACAGTGAATCACCAGACTAACCTACAAAGAAGCTCTAAATTTGCGGTTCAACAAGAATTCAAGGAATAAGGTTACTGGGGCCCAGGAAAGTAAATAGATACATATATACATTCACTCACTCACTGGTTCTCCGTATACTCACTCATCAACTCCCCATTTCTTCTTCTCAAATAAAAGTTGTAAATGGGTGTCAAGATTCTATTTTGGTACCACCTTATTACTACCTTCCTCTCACAATGGGAGGGAACATTCAAAAGACATTTAAAGGGACTTGGTCATAGGAAGCCCCCAGTGGTACCTTAATAGTTGTGAGCATGTCTAAGTGAGCCCACGTGGTGGAGATGTGATGTCAGAGATGGGAAATGAGGGAGTCAGAAGTGGTCTCACCATGTCACTGGCCTCCAGGTTATCATCCAATGTCCATCATTTCCTACCTGCTGCTAGTGAGAAGACCTTGGTGCTCCTTGGACTGAACTTTGGCCTAGGACTTGCCTGAAGCTCTGTGTACAGCTTTAAACCCCAACTTTCCAGCACTGACCACCATGACAGGACGGAACCCAGTGTCCTGGGGTAAAACCCAAGGGGTAGCAGCTGCACTGGGGAGACATGTACCCAGTCTGGACTAGTCCTTAATGTGTGGTTTTCACCTTCATGAAGGCCTCTCATGCTTCTTTCTTTGACAGGAAGGACTTGGGGGAAGTCCCTCTGATTTCCCCCTGCTGACACTGGTCCGCTTTGGCCGCTTGACGTGTGTGGGCTTCCTGAAGTCTCTGTTGCTGCGGACCAGGGCATATCACTTTGCCCATGGTCAAAGGAAGAAAGGAAAATTTCCACCCACCTGAGATAGGCTGCTTCTATCTTCAGCCTGAGGCAGAGCAGTCATCACTCATCACCAGCACCCCTCAGGTCTTTCTTTGCTGGACTAGTGTCAGGGGCAGGGGCAGGGGCGGGGACAGTTCAATCCAGGAGACCTGGGTTCCAGCTGTAGTTCTGGTTTAGCTGTGCTTCTTCCCTAGCTCTGTGATGACAAGCAAATTATTTTTCATGTCTTCACCTTGGCTTCCTAATCTGGACTATAAGAAGGTATTTTAAAATAATCTCTAAAATCCTCTAGAATATAAATTCCATGAGGATGTCATCTTGCAGCAGAAGAGCTCAATAAAATATTTGATCAAGAAATAGTTAGGCTGAGTGCAGTGGCTCACTCCTGTATTCTCAGAACTTTGGGAGGCTGAGGTGGGCAGATCACTTGAGGCCAGGAGTCTGAGACCAGCCTGGCCAACATGGCAAAACTCCATCTCTACTAAAAATACAAAAAAATTAGCTGGACATGGTGACACACACCTGTAATCCCAGCTACTCAGGAGGCTGAAGCATGAGAATCACTTGAACCCAGGAGGCAGAGGTTGCAGTGAGCCAAGATCACACCACTGCACTCCAGCCTGGCCAAAGAGTGAGACTCTCTCAAAAAATAAAAATAAAAAAATTTTAAAAAGGAAATAGTTGGCCGGGTGCAGTGGCTCATGCCTGTAATCCCAGCACTTTGGGAGGACGAGGCGGGCAGACCACGAGGTCAGGAGTTCGAGACTAGCCTGGCCAATACGGTGAAACCCCGTCTCTACTAAAGATACAAAGAATTAGCTGGGTATGGTGGTGGGCGCTTGTAATCCCAGCTACTCAGGAGGCTAAGGCAGAATTGCTTGAACCTGGGAGGCGGAGGTTGCAGTGAGCTGAGATTGCGCCATTGCACTCCAGCCTGGCAACAGAGCAAGATTCCATCTCAAGAAAAAAAAAAAAAAAAAGGAAATAGTTAAAGGAATCTCTTCTGAGGTCAACTGCCCCATGTCTCATCCACTTGGCCTGCCTCTGATTTCAGCCACAACTATAGTAAATAGACAGTGCCTGCAAAGCTCAGACTCACCCTGTGACAGTGCCCCATCTCAAGGCCAGCCCTACAAGTCTATCTGCTTTCTGTCTTCGTTTCTGGCTCAGCCTCACTGCCTCACAATCTCAAATGCAACAAAAACATTTTACTTCTTCGTCCTTCAAAGTCATTAACTTGCGCATGATCTCAGAGTGTGCAAAGATTTTCTAAACAGAACAAATTAAAAGCATTAAAAGATTTTCTAAATAGAACAAATTAAAAGCATTAACCATAGGAAAGACTAGCGATTTGAACTAATATTCCTAAAAAGACATCGTTAGGAGAGTCAAAACGCAACTATGAGCTAAGAAAATATATTTGCAATATATGTATTTAGCAAAGGACTCATATCCAAAATAAAGAACTGCTGCAAGTCAGTAACAGAAAGATCAACAGCCAGCCACCAAAGATTACATATTATTCCATTCATATAGAATTTAAAAATGGGTAAAATTTCCATTAATGGTAACAGAAGTCGGAATAGTGATTATCTTTGAGTGGAGTATTACAGAGAAGGACTACAAGGGGAGGTGCTGGGCTGATGGAAATGATCAGTATCTCAATCTCAGTAATGATTCCACAGATGTATACAACGGATTTTATGTAAAATTCATCAAGTTGTATACTTTGTACACTTTGCAACAGATAAGTTTGAGTTCAATAAAAAAGGGGGTGGGAATCGAGGCTGTTTAGGTCACATACTCACTCCTGCATCCAAGGGAATAGTGTGTTGATTGGCTTGGGACGGGGTCCTATGGCCCATCCTGAGGGCTGAGGATGGAGCCCACCCAGACCAAAAATGGACAGAGGAGGGAATCTCCAAGGGGGATTGAAAAGTATTTGCAGAAGATGAGGAAAAAGATGTTCTAAGGGAGACAACTAATTTCTAATGGTCAGGACAGAGGTGGGCCTTACCTTTAGCAAGTGGAGCTGGAAAATATAGGAGAGAGAGAAAGACAGAGACACAGAGACAGAGAGACAGGGGCAGAGAGATGCAGAGTAACCAGCCGTCGGCTTTCCAATTCTTTGTTCTCACTCCTGTGAGTGAAGCTGCACTTCCTATGTGGGGGTTCTGAAAGGTTTCCCTGTATCTGTGGGGGAACTTGTTATTCTTTTTGACCATCTGGCATTTTGAGCCTGCTTTTAATTGTTTGGGGAAGTTCCCCACCTTATGAATCTTGACAGGAGGCAGAGTTGCCTCCCACTCTCAGTGCTGAAAATGCCAGTGTTCATGATCTAAGCTCAGCCAAGGAGACAGCAGCGCTCCAGAATCACAGAGACCACAGGGCACATCGGTGTGGAGGACTTGGTCATAGAAGAGTCTAGTCCAGCAGTGTCACAGCAGGCCAGTGTTCACAGGGTCAGAGGAGCGAGCAGCAGCAGCCGGCGCCCAGCAGCATAGCCCTGCAGTCCTCACGCCCCATTCTAAGGTGTGACGTTTGGCCCTTTTGCCAGCTGGCAGGCCCCACATCTGATCCTCCATCCTTCCTGCCAATCCTGTACCCCAGTCTATATCCTTTCAATAGTTCCTTTTTGGCCTAAACCAGCCAATCCATGTACACTGCTTGAAACCAGGAATCCTAACTGATAATAACATGCTTTCAGAAAATTCCCCCTTTTAGTTTATACAGAGAAGCAAAGCCTGAATCCAAAAGAATGCTTCTACTGTGTGAATTTTCCACACCATCATATGGTCACAAGGAAGGTGTCTGCTGGCAAAAGACCCTTAACACCCTACAAATCACATGACAGGAGGAAAGGGGGACAAGCCAACGTGTGAATTGCAGTTAGGTCCTCAACTCACCTTATGTTCAGTTCTCATCGTAAACCCACAGGATAGGTATTGTACTAGTGTGCTCAGGCTGCCATCACAAAGTACCACAGACTGGAGGGCTTAAACCACAGACATTTTTATTTTCTCACAGTTCTGGAAGTAAGAAGTCTAAGGTCAAGATGCCAGAAAATTCTGTTTCTGGTAAAACCTCCCTTCCTAGCTTGCAGACGGCCACCTTCTCACTGTGTCTTTGCATGGCCTTTCCTCTGTGTGTGCACAGAGGAAAAGATCTCTGGTATCTCTTCCTCTTCTTACAAGGACACCAGATTAGGGCCCCACCTTCTATGACCTCATTTAACCGTTACCTTCTTGGAGGCCCTGTTTCCAAATACAGTCATACTGCAGGTTAAGTCAATAAATGAATTATTGGGGGACGCAATTCAATCTGTAACAAGTATTGTCTCAATATTGCAAACAAGAAACATGAGGTTAAAGTTCTTGTCCAAGATCTAGATAAAGCCTTGGCACTTTTCAGTCTGCTTATGGTTTTCAGTCTTTCTTATCAAATCTTGGAAATTCAAGCTTCAAAGTATGAAGTAGAAGAAAAGTATGGTGTATCATAGAGCAGTGAGAAATGAATGAACCTGAGATGAAGCCAGTGTGACTGTCTGCCAGTCAGCCCTGGAGCGAGGGGATGGAATAACCCAGATATATCCACTGGCTCCTCTCCAAGCTTCAGCCATGCCATGGCTGGCACATCACTGCCTCGTAGCAGCTTGGGTCCTGTGTTTGGGTCCTGACTCTCATATGACTTTGTGAGTGCTGGCAAAGACTCCCTCCTTGACCAAACTTTAGTCGGGTTCCCTGAAGCCTTCTTCTCAACTAGGCCTTGCCCTTGACCTGATGAGCCAAGTTTTAGCAATGAATCTTGTTAAGTCCATTTACTGAGATTCTCTCACCCTCAACATCCAATCAAGCTCCTCTTCCTCCACCTAATCAAGTTCCTGTTAGTAATTTTCCATCCACTCCCCCAGCGTGCTGATTGGCTGTAAATCCCCCCTTATCCCTGATGTATTTGGGTTTCAATCCTCTCACCTATTGCAATAATCTTGACCCTTACTGCAATAGCCTTGAATAAAGTGTTCGTTGCTGTTTTTCACAGATATCAGGATAATTTTTCTTTAACAGTTTATTAGGGGCAAGACCACGTCTCACATTTCTCCTTACATATCTCCCCAACACATAGTTGTGCCTCAGCTGGTGCACTGTCAAGAGGCAAGTGAGTGGGTGGGAGGATGGGTGACACCTGAAAGTCCCATGGCCTAGCTACAGAGAAAAGTCAAAGAGCACCTTGAAGCCTATGAAGAATGGACAGTGGGATGAGCCTTAGGAAAAGGAAGATAGAAGAGAATAAAGGGAAGAAAACAGAGGGTTCCTAGCAGCATGTCAGACTCAATCGGAACCACCCTTACACTATCAATTTGGGACACTCCAGGAGCAAAGGGCCCCAGTCTTGATGGCCTGAGGGCCCCAAGTCCAAGGGGCAGCACTTGGCAGAGGGACAAACACTGGATAATTATCCTGGCCCTGACTTTGGTGTTCTCAGCTCTGCGACGTTAGGCAAATCAGCTAACCTCTGTGACCCTCAGCCTTTCCATGCATGAAATGACAGTAACAATGGCTCCCTCACAGGTGCAAGTAAGAATGTAAGTGAAACAATTTGTTTTCTTTTTTAGTATGCTTGATATTTACTGAGAAGAATGCAAATGCTCTTTCTAACTGGTATTCAGGAGCTGGGTTGAGGGCCTGTTTTTGTTTGTCTGTTTTGTTCATAGTATTTTTGCCTAAATGTGCGTATCTGTGGGACTGATGAAATTATGAAAGAAAAATGACAGCTGTGCAAAACTGGTGCATGGAAGAAAAGGAATGTCATGATGTGGGACTGCCAGGTCCACCGGGCCTCTGCAGCAAACCGATGGGGCAGGGAGTAGGTTGGGAGCCAACCAGGCCAGAAGATTGGCTCCTTTGGGAGTTGGTGAGCTGTCCAAATCAATGCCCAGGGAGGTAGAGCCAACCCAGGCTCTCCTAGGTTGGTCCTTGTCTCTAAAGGCAGGGTCTGTCGGTGAGATGTGGTGGGTGGTGATAGTGTAGCTCTCTGGGCACATGTAGGCTAAGCAGTGGCAGCAGCTGGGCTGTGGGTGGTCTGCCCAATATGTCACAGATCTCTGGCCTACAGCTGGGGCTCAGAACATGGTCCAAATTTGCAAAGGAGACATCCTGGGCTGGCCTGAGTAGGCAGCAGCGTGGCTTAAAGCAAGTCCCCTGCCCAGAGGCAGGCAAATGGAGCATCTTCCTGAACAAAGACAAGCACTACAGAGGGATGACGGAGAGAACCAGAGGGCAGAGGAGAGGGAAGGGGACCAAAGGGGCACCTGTGGAGGGTGGGCAGTGGCAGCTTACAGGGCCCTCCCCAACAGGGCCCAAGGGTCTCCCAGCCCAGTAACAATATCTTCATTATCATCCTGGCCAAAACATTGCTTCCTTTCACTGAGGACATTATAAATGTTATTTTTTTATTTTTATTTATTTATTTATTTATTTATTTTTTGAGAGAGAGAGAGAAGATCTCACTCTGTTGCCCAGGCTGGAGTGCAGTGATGTCATTTTGGCTCACTGCAACCTCAGCCTCCTGAATTGCTGGGACCACAGATGTGCGCCAGCATGCCCGGCTAATTTTTGTATTTTTAGTAGAGACAGGGTTTCGCCATGTTGCCTAGGCTGATCTCAAACTCCTGGACTCAAGCGATCCACCCGCCTCGGCCTCCCAAAGTGCTGGGATTACAGTTGTGAGCCATTGTGGCCGGCCACAAATGTTATTTTTAAAGCACACACACATTCCTGGTGGAAGGTAAGTATCCTCAGCACCCATTTCCTGAAACGTCTTTTAATCATCACAATATGGAGATTGTATTATTATCTCTATTTTAAAGACAGGGCAGTATTTTCCTGGGGCAGTATTTCCCAAATTGTGTCCCACGGAATGCTAATAACAGTACTAAGAGGTAAGTGGTGCTCACTTTTGAAAATGCTCCTATAGCCAAATATTTTTGAGAAATAATGCAGAGGAATGGTGCATTTGTGAGCATAGACCCAGGAGTCAGAGACACCTCGGTTTGGGGCCGAGCCCCACTGATTATCAGCTTTGCGGGTGCAGCAATAATAATCCTAGCTTCCTTATCTGGGATGTGGGAATAATGAAATACCCGCTTCATAAGGTTCGTGTGAGGGTTGATGTTATGAGGTAACAAATGTAAAGCTCTTAGCACATAGCTGGTGCAAAAAAAGTCTTCAATAAACAAGAACTCTTATTGGCATTGTAGCAGGTTAAATATTGTTAACATCTTACAGCTAGACCTATAATTTTTTTAGGGAGAGATCAATTTTGTTTAGGAAAACATCTTAATAAACCACGTGGAAGCGTGGCCAGCAATGAGACTCTGAAGTTACAAGCCATCAATAACCAAGACCAAAACCTAGAAAACCAAGTTTGAAAAAGCCAGAGTCCCATAGAGGGTGAGTACTGATTTCTCTCATTGCCTGACATTATAACAAAGAGGTTCAGGGCACAAAGATGAGATCTCACCTCCGTCTTCACCTCCCTCTTTTTAGTACTACTCCATCCTTTACAGATTCACCTACACACACTCACACATGCACACACACCACTCCCTTTTCAGGAAGAAAGCTACAGGCTCCAGTTAATTAGAAATTCTACTATTTCAGCTTTATTACTTCCTCTTTACTCTCTGAACTTTAAAGGAACACATTTCTGTAAAGTTTAAATTATTTCAATGAGGTGTATTACCTTTTTAACTGGGGGTGGGAGGGAAGCACTTTTTTTTTCTTTTTTTTTTTTTTAATGTTGAAGACTCCACTCAGTCATTTGAGCTCCAGGAAGCCTTCCCTGGCCACCCATAAGTTAAGAGAAGAGCCCCTCTTCTGAGCTCCCAGAGCACCCACTTCATACCTATGCTATAGAACACACCGCCAAGGACGGAAATTATCCAAAGGTTTGTGTCCATTGATTGCCATGCCAGGCATCCAGCTCTGCTGAAGCACGCAGGGGCCCTGACTTCCTCATTAGGTATTCTCAACACCTCCACCAGCAGCTGGTAGGCAGCAGAGCTATTGTTACTGAGCTGCCCACGGCACCAATGGATCTATGAATGAACCTGAACGTCTTCCCTGGAGAAAAGCACTTGCTTGTCAAGGGAGGAACAGGGGTCTGAAATGCTAACCCCTGCCCTATAGTATGGGTGTGCATACGGTGCACCTTCCAAAGCCCAGAGTGGCATTCTTATTACATCCCGGAAACCCCCTGGTCAGGGGCTTTTGGGGTGACATCCAATATGTAAATACCAGGGTCGGGTCCTGCTGAGTGGCATAACAGTGCCATATGTGAAAGTTCCACCAGCAGCAGAGGGCTCTTTCATTAGTCATTTCACTGCACACAGCTGTAAGGAATCTGGCGAAGCTTGATTTGGCTGGGAGGAGTGCATTTTCCACTTGTAGGCGTCTTGAAAACTTTCATACTAAAAAAAAAAAAAAAATTAACAACAAGAAAATCATCATAGTCCAAAATGAGAAGCCAGAAATTGAAGGTGGAGAGCCAGGGTAGCAAACATAATGGAGGGACTCCAAGACCGGGCTTCCACCAGGACCCTACACTGACTCACAGATGTGTAATGGTCATGGCGAGCCTTACATGTAAACAGAGATCCCAACATGTCCCAGAGGTAGTGGCTGTGGAAGCCTGGGCAGATGCCAGGCAGTATTCTAAGGTTAAGCATTGCTATGGTTTGAATGTGACCCCCAAATTTCATGTGCTGGAAACTTAATTCCCAAATTCACATATCGATGACATTTGGAGGTAGGGCCTTTGAGAGGTAATTAAGATTAAATAAGGCCATGAGTGTGTGGCCCCCACGGTGGGGCTGGTGGCTTTATAAGAAGAGTTAGAGTAACCTGGCCGGGTGCTGTGGCTCACGCCTGTAATCCCAGCACTTTGGGAGGCCAAGGCGGGCAGATCACGAGGTCAGGAGATCGAGACCATCCTGGCTAACACGGTGAAACCCCATCTCTACCAAAAAAATACAAAAAAATTAGCCGGGTGTGGTGGCGGGCACCTGTAGTCCCAGCTACTTGGGAGGCTGAGGCAGGAGAGTGGCCTGAACCTGGGAGGCGGAGCTTGCAGGGAGCTGAGATCACACCACTGCACTCCAGCCTGGGTGACAGAGCAAGACTCCGTCTCAGAAAAAAAAAAAAAAAAGAAGAGTTAGAGTAACCCAAGCGGACAAGCCTGCTCTTGCCCACTTGCCATGTGATGCCCTCTGCCACGTGAGGATGCAGCAAGAAGGCCTTCACCAAATGCCAGCACCATGTGCTTGGACTTCCCAGCCTCCAGAACTATAAGCAATAAATTTCTTGTCTTTATAAATGATCCAGTCTGTAGAATTCTGTTACAGCAATGGACTAAGACAGGCATGATTTGGGGTACAGAGAAGGAAAACTGAGAGGTCACAGAAGAGAGAGGAGGGTGGAAGCTGGGGGAGAGGCACTGATGGAACCAGCTTCCACCCTTCCCTGCAGGGCTTGGAAAGACCCATGAGGACACAAGGGAGAATAAAAGGAAGCAGCCCTGATTGCCATGGCTGGGTCAGGGTCAGGAGGCTAGGACTGCTTTATGTCCCTGCTATAATGGACTTATGGGTTTTTTAAGATTTTTTAAAATAGATTAACTATAGCTCCTAGAGCTGACTCTACTGATAACTTTACCCTGGACTCCCTCCCTGATTTTGACCTTAGTTTGTGTGGCGGGGGGGGGGATGAGAGGCTGCGGTCCAAATGGAATGCAGTTTGCCTGTCCTCTATCAGCATCAATGCATCACCTTTCCCCCGATTTTTACCTCATGATATATTTATGCATTTAACGCATGTTTATTGAGTGAGCTGCATGCAGCAAAATGCACGTAAAAAGCAATTTTTTTTCTTTTTTCTTTGTCCTTTCAACTCCTCTCTCTGGATTTGCCTTGTCCCTGCACTTGAGATGAAAGCTAACCAATACCACGGATTTTCTAGCCACTCTGAGCCATTAAATAAAGAGGCTCTTTAAAACAAACAAACAAAAAAAAAAGTAAAAAACAGTCTACTCAACCTGAAGCTTCTCCCCTCTCAGACTCCTTCACTTCAGGTTTGGAAACTCGGTACCAAGGAGGAAGGCATGGACTTCACCATTTTCTCTCCTCCACCTCTCGTAGCCAGCTGCTAATTCTCAAGCCTCAAGCTGTGAGAGATTGAGAACTGAGGGAAAGGACACAGTACTTGACGGCTCTTACTGTCATGACGCGGCCTTGGTGCCCTCTGGGTTTAGCATGTTTTCCAACGCTTTCCTTTCCAGCCTCACTTAGGCACATTGCAGTTAAAGAATATGGCCACCAGGTGGCAGTAAAGGCCTTTTTTTTTCCTGGCCAGTAGACCCTACCCTCCGGTTTTATATGGCTACATAATTTCTTTAAGATGATGTCAAATATGCTTTCCCTACATTTCAAAAGAAAAGAAAGTAAACACTTAAAACCACAAACTGGTCAACTTAGCAAAAACTAAATATAATTTAAAGATGATGCCCTAGGGAATAAACGTGTAAAGAAAACCTCCCAAGTTGTTAATTATGTAATTACATAACTAATTTACTAAGTCTTTCTCTTCCTCAAATTATTACTGTGTAAGTCTAAATCTTATTCCCAGATCTTGATCATAATTTACCTTCCCTTAATTTAGAGTCAGAAACTTTTCCCCAAAGGCTCCTGTATGGCCAATTGTCATTTAAAGACCTTTATTAATAACAACTATTATACTAATAATATCCATTTGTTTTTTACTATGCACCAGTTACAGTTATGTTACAGTCACTACTTATAGTTATGTGTTGACTACACACAGACTACACACTGCGATAAAACCTAACTGTGGTATTATTTTATCCTCACACCATCCCTACATGTCACCACCACTGCCCCTGCCCGCATTTAGGGTTGCCAGAAAAAATATAGGCCGCACAGTTAAATTTGAATTTCAGATAAACAACAAATAATGTTTTAGCATATGTCCCACGCACCATTAGGGACATAGTTATTGCATGGGACATAAATATTTTATGGGACATATTTACACTAAAAAATAATTATTTATCTGAAATTCAGCTTTAACTGGACATCCTAGATTCTTATTTGATAAATTTGGCAACCTGACCCCCATTTTATGGATAAGGAAACTGAACCTCCAGGAAGGTAAGCAATGTAATGAAGGCTAAGAGCTGGTAAGCAGCACTGTGGAGCTGTGAACCCCAGACCCTCCGAACCGGGTTCCCTCCCTACCATACTGCCCCTCCTTGTTGTCTAGGGAATTATTCTCATCTGCCAGCTGCTGGTAAAATAATCTGCCATCCTCAAGTAAAATAATCCTTGTCACTGTTCTCAACTAAATAGAAGAAAAGCTTTTCTTCCCAGCCAAGAAAGAGTCACTGAAAGACAAATTCTCATGACTGATTTTCCCGTATCTGTCTTCCTTGCCAATTTATCGTTTCTGGAAAAAAAAAAATGAAAATCCCCCTTATTTTTTTCCCCACTGATATTCATATTTTTGTAACTATTTCAAGGCTACCTCTAGTAAACTGAAATGTAAATACAACAGTCCATCCCAATTTGTTCTTCTGGCTTAATTACCTGAAACATAATACAGTAATTTAGAACTACGCATAAAGAAAAAAACAAAACAAAATAAAACTGTAATGTCATTGCACTATGAGGATATCAAAACTTTTTGTTGTTGGTTTTTTCCCAGCCATATCTTCCAGTATTTGAGTGATGACAGACCTAGTCAACTTGTATTCCTCTGCAGGATTTACTGTCCTGCACATAATAGGAAAATAAAGCCATGTTACAGTCCCACAGCTATACGAGAACACCTCTCCCCCACAATGTCAAGGTTAGTCCCTAGCAGAAAAAAAAGCGGCAACAAAGGAACGTTTAAAGGAGTTTAAACATGCAAAGTGCTTAGAACAGTGCCAGCCAAATAGTAAGTGCTCAGTAGATGTGAGCTAGTGTTATTATTAACACCTAGAGACATTACCAATGGCCATTACCAATGGGTCTAGAGACCCAGAAATGGCTTTGCATTAATAACTAACAAGCCATAAACAATGCAGAATGAGAGAGAAGGAATGGTGGTGCCCAGAGTGAAAAAAAAAAAAAAAAAAAGGACTGGGAGAGAATGGAGGAAGGCCATTCATTCATTCAACAACCATGTCATGAGTGAGTGCTATGTGCCAGCCTTAAAGGGATGGAGAGCCCAGTGAGAGAGGCAGGTCTTTGTAGTATGGTGTGATAACTGTGCACTGGAGAGAGCAATACCCAGTACGGCATGGGAGTACAGAAAAGGGGAACCTTGGCCAGTCTAGGAGGTCAAAATGAGGTCAGGGAAACTTCACAGAGTGAGACCTCAGCTGACTCTTACTGACCCAGTAACTGCTGACCAGGCTGAGGCTGAGAAGATGGCGCATTCCAAGCAGTGGAGGCAACAGCAAGCAAAGGTGCAGACTTAAAACAACAAAGTGTGTGCAGAGGAGGGGGAGACAATTCAGTTCCCTTCTCTTTGGAAAACCAGTCAATTACCAAGCAATGTAAAGTTACTGGAATGACGGAACACCCATATGTGGGCCCCTGCACAAGGAAGTACAAATGCAAGACTTCTTCCATCTTCAACCAACAGGAGTAAGACGGTGGACACCACCAGATGAGAGAGTTGATGTCGTGGAGAAAGGAGGTTTGTCAGCTTCATGTTAACCACTGAAGAGATGTTACATGTTACATACATATATATATGTACATTTTTTTTTTTTTAGACAGAGTCTCGCTCTGTTGCCCACACTGGAGTGCAGCGGTGAGATCTCGGCTTACTGCAACCTCCGCCTCCCAGGTTCAAGCGATTCTCCTGCCTCAGCCTCCTTACATGTTATATCTTAATTAAGTTATTAATATCACTTGCAAATAAATTCATTCTCACCAATACATGGGGCTTTCACATTGATCCTCATAAGCACCCTCCCTAAATCTAAAATAATAGATTTTATTACTCCCACCTTACATATGAGAAAATGGATTTCCACAGGGATTAAAAGATTTTTCTCAAAATTATATAGCCAATAACAAGAAGAGTAGAAGTTGATCTTCAATGTTGTCCATTATTTTATTCCCCTTCTTTTCCACCTCTTTAATTAAAACACAGCCTTCAAGACCCTGCTTGAATCCCACTTCCTCTGCAAAGCTCTCCCTCCCTCCCCCACAGCACATGACATAGAGCCTTTCATATACCAAGTATGCAATAACAGCTTGATGACTGGTGATGATGATCAGGTAGCAACTGTCAGCCTGTGTGGATGCCTTGTGACCACTGGATAAAGGGGCAACTGCAGTGGTCTGGACTCAGGAAAGAAGTCCCCTAGGAAGGACTAGGCTTTGAGCCAGGTCTTGAAGAAACTGGTAGCTGTGAACTGGTGGAAGCATATGGGGTAGGAAGGAGAACATCCCACCGGTGATGGAGAAGTAACAATTTGTACAAAGACACGGAAGCAAAGTGAACCAAAACTATGCCTATCTTCTATGTCTGCCTTTAATATTATCCTTGGCAATTCCTTTATAATTAGAGAGTGTCTTCATCTGTTTATGCCACTGTAACAAAATACCTGAGACTGGGTAATTTGTAAACAATAAAAAATTTATTTCTCACAGTTCTGGAGGCTGGGAAATCCAAGATCAAGGTGCCAGCAGGTTTGGTGGCTGGAAACGGCCTGGTCTCTGCTTCCAAGGAGGTACCTTACGCACTGTGTCCTGACATGGTGGGAGGGACAGAAGGGCAAAAAGGGGGGTGAATGCTGTATCCTCATGGCAGAAGAACAGAAAAGAACAAACACTCCCTCAAGCTCTTTTGTAAGGACCCTAATTCCATCCAGGAAGGCTCTGCTCTCAGGACTTAGGCCTGTCGTCTTAATACTATCACATTGGTGATTAAGTTTTAACATATGAACTTGGGGGAACACATTCAGACCACACCAGAAAGAAATAGGCAATTCTAGACAAAGTATTTCTTCTCTTTACTTGCTTCTTTAGTCCACACGTATTTTGAGTGCTTCTCATGGGCAAGACTCTATGGGAAGCATAAAGATGAATCAAACACAGCTCTTCCCTCGTGAACAATGTGTTCACTAAAAGAGGAAGACCTATGCATGACTATCTATAACGAAAGGCACAAACTGGAAACAGCCATAAACAAGCTATGAGCTGCTACTAGTGCTTATCACTTCAAAGTAGGGATCTTTGTGGGCCGGTGGGCCCAATGTGATTCTATGAGTTCTTATGAAAGGGGTGCATTAAAGCCAGAGAGAAACTGTCTGTTCCCTTCCTGGAAGCAATGCTGTTGATGCTGGATTTTCAAGGGTACAATTTTCACGGCTTAAGATAGGTTCTGGGCCATTCTAGGCAGAGGGAACCACATGAGAAAAGATATAAAGGTGGAAAAGTTCCAGGTCCCACAAAAAAGAGTGAGGAATTTGGTTTTACTGCAACATTAAGATAAAAAGAAAAGAATGGAAAATGAAGTTGCAAATGTGGATGAAACCAGGTCATACAGTGGAAAGAATATGAAACTTTGAATTCCTAAAACAGAATTCCAATTCTGCCACTTACTGTCTACATGACCTCAGGCAAATTACTTAAATCCTCTGAGCCTCAGTTGCTTCATCTGAAGAATGCGACCAGACAGGTGGATTTTCAGGCATGCAATAAGGTGGCACACCTTCAATCAGAGATTCTTTAAATATTTCTTATTCTTTAAATATTCAAGTTTTTCAAAGGAGAGGTTGAGCATTGAGTCATGCAATGACTCCTAGCCTTTCCTCCACTGTCCCAGGAATTGTCAATATTCCACCCAGCCACATATGACCCTGCAGCTAATCTGAGTCCTTTCCTTTCTTTTAATTGGGTACAAAAGTTCCCTGTGGATTTGATTTTCGATGATGTCTTGGTATTTTTTTATAGGTTGTGAATTTGAACTTCTGCCTTCTGGCTTACACTTGGCTCAGTGCAGCTCAGGGAGTGGTTTGAAGGTTAAGGGTATTACTGACTTAGAGTGCTCCATAAGAATAGCTGTTTCTGTGTGACCATTGACAGAAAAGGAAAAACAAGCTATGGAGACTGGCTAGGGGGTCATTTAGAAAGACTATTTCATAATCCACAAATAGCAACTTGAGGCCTGAAATAAGAGAATAGCACTGGGAATAGGGAAGAAAGGATAGATTGAAAAGCTCCTGTGGAAATGGAATCCCCAGGATTTAGCAAATAATTGCATGTTAGATGAGGTAAATAATGAGGTTGAAATCTGGCTCTAGGAAGATGGCAAAGCCATTAACATAACTAGTGATATGGGGAAGAAGAGCAGATTTAGAAGCAAAGTCAATGAATCTGTTTGGGACACAGCTGGAGGAGCCAGCAATCATAAAAACAGACAGAAAAGGACATCAGGCAGTTAAAAATGCAGCCCTGTTCAAGAAAGAAACATGATAGAGTAAATGGTTAATGCACACACAGCCTTTGTGTGTTCCAGGTGGTTCTATGAACTAGAGCGAGGAGGCTGAGCCTGGACACTGTGACCAAACCATGGACTGTTCCCACATTCTACAACCTGCATTCATTCCTTGTAAATCTCTTGATGAATTTTTCACACATTCTGGCCTCAGTTATGTGGATATGGTCCCCAAAAGATGTGAAAGTCCTTACTGGGACAAAAGAACTCTTTCTCTCCCCTGTTGAGGTTTGAGTCTTCAAAATGAACTGATAATAGACTGATTAACTGGAGAAAAGGCATATAGACTTATCAAGTGCATGGAGCATCACAGGAAAGTGAGTACCCAATAATCCAACATGCTGTATCAATAGAAGTTTATATACTCAGATAATAACCTGAAACAAAGTTCGTCTGGGCTCTGGGTGTGGCGTCAACTCTAACGTTCCTTCCTGCGAGTCAGTCTTCCCTGTTTGATGAGATTATAGGGAGTGGGGCTCAAGTCAGTTGCTTCCTTCTGGAGGAGCTTCCCTTAGTCAGATATGGAAACTTCAGAAAAAGTGCTTCCCTTTGTCAGATATGGGAACTTCAGAAAAATTTTCTCCCTGTGCTTCAGGAGAGGCAGATAGGCAAGAGACAGCGGACAGGAGGTGGTCAGAGATACCTTGTTTCCATGGCTGCTTCTTTAGTTCAAAATACTCAGCATGTCAAAATGCCATACTTAGGAGTGTTGTTTTCTGAGCTTTAACATTCTAATCCCCAGAACCTGTAAATGTGCTGCTTTACATGGTCAAAGGGACTTTGCAACTATGATTAAATAAAGGACTTTTAAATACAGAGGTTATTCTGGACTATTCAGTGGGCCCAATGTAATCCCATGGGTTCATTTTTTAAATTTTTATTTTACTTTGAGACAGGGTCTTGCTCTGTCACCCAGGCTAGAGTGCAGTGACACAACACAGCTCACGGCAGCCTCAACCTCCCGGGCTCAAGCAATTCTCCCACCTCGGCCCCGAGTAGCTGGGACTACAGGTACGCACCACCACACCCAGCAGATTTTTTCATTTTTTTGTAGAGACAAGGTCTCGCTATGTTGCCAGGGCTGCTGTCAAACTCTTGGGCTCAAATGATCCTCCTGCATCAGCCTCCCAAAGTGTTAGGATTACAGGCGTGAGCCACTGCGCACAGCTCCCATGGGTTCTTATAAGGGGGATGCAAGACAGTCAGAGAGAGAGAGAGACTGGAAGATGCTATACTGTAGGCTCTGAAGACAAAGAAAAACGCCATGCAGGAGGAACACAGCCCTCCTGATGCCTTGATTTTAGCCCTGTGAAACCCAATCTGGACTCGTCACCTTCAGAACTGTATGATAATAAATTTGTATTGTTTAAGCCACTACATTTGTAGTAATTTGTCACAGCACCAACAAAAAATCAATACAATAATCATAGTGAATGGCCTAGGTCTCATGGTCAATGGATTAGCACTTGAAACGTTAAAGGCTGTGGACAGATAACCTTTCAGAATAACTAATGGTTAGTCTACAGCTGTGGTTCTCAACCAGGGATGATTTTTCCCTACCCTCCCAAAGGATATTTGGCAATGTCTGGAGATACTTTTGATTGTCACAACTGGGGAGTGGCTGCTACTGGTATCTAGTGGGTAGAGACCAGGATGCTGCTAAACATTCCACAATGCACGGGAGAGCCCGCCCCCCCACTGACCCCACAACAAAGAATTAGCTGGTACAAAACTTCAATAGTGATGAAGTCAAGAAACCCTCTCTTACAGATTGCAACTAAGTTCAGAAACTACACTGACAGTGTAAAGAATGTCATCGGGAAAAAAGAGAGACATGAGATTTTTCTACCATGTATGAAGTCGTTTTGACAGAAAAATGAAACCTGACTCTGATAAGTCTCTAGAGTCAACTATAATCATGCATCCCTTAACGACAGCAATACATTCTGAGAAATGTGTTATTAGGTGATTTCATTGTGTAAATATCACAGAGTGTACTTACACAACCTGGATGGTATAATCTACTACACACTTAGGCTATATGGTACAGCCTATTGCTCCCAGACTACAAACCTGTACAGCATGTTACTGTACTGAAAACTGTAGGCGACTGTAACACAATAGTGTGTATTGCAACATATCTAAACATAGAAAAGGTAATGTGTTGTGCTACCATGTTACAATGGCTACATAACTAAGCAATGGGAATCTTTCAACTCCATTATAATCTTTTTTTTTTTTTTTTTGAGATAGAATCTTGCTTTGTTGCCCAAGCTGAAGTGGTGCGATCTTGGCTCACTGCAACCTTCACCTCCCAGGTTCAAGCGATTCCTGCCTCAGCCTCCCAAGCAGCTGGGATTACAGGCACCCGCCACCACACCCGGCTACTTTTTTTATTTTAGTAAAGACAATGTTTTGCCATGTTAGCCAGGCTGGTCTCCAACTCCTGGCCTCAAGTGATCCACCCGCCTCAGCCTCCCAAAGTGCTGGGATTACAGGCGTGAGCCACCACGCCCGACCTCTATTATAATCTTATGGGACTACCATCCATAATGGTTCATCGTTGACAGAATATTTTGTTATGAGGGGCATGACTGTACTAATTTACAAGAAACAGAAAATGGAGGATACTGTTACAGAGGACCACAGGCATCCAATCCATAAAAATCTACAGGACAAAGTACTCAGTTTTTCAACTGATTGCCAGGATAACAAAACAGAGAGGGACATGGAAGGGGAATCTATGGAATAAAAGATTTAAGAGAAAAAGGAACCAACTATAATATGTGCAGCTGATTTTTATCTTAATTCAAACAAGCTGTAAAAATTGTGCATATGCATTTATGAGATAATTATAAATTTAAATACTGACTAGTTTATGATATTAATGAATTATTGCTAATGTTAGTTGAATTTATTGTTTTGTGGTTACTTTTTAAAAAGGAATTATTATCTATAGAACTACATATTGAAATATTTGCAGATGAAATAACATATTGGCTGGGAGCAGTGGCTCATGCCTGTAATTCCAGCAATTTGGGAGGCCAAGGCAGGAGGATCACCTGAGGTCAGGAATTCGAGACCAGCCTGGCCAACATGGTGAAACCCCGTATCTACTAAAAATACAAAACTTGTGGCCAGGCATGGTGGCAGGTGCCTGTAATCCCAGCTATTCGGGAGTCTGAGGCAGGAGAATTTATTGAATCTGGGAGGCGGAGGTTGCAGTGAGCCGAGATTGTGCCACTGCACTCCAGCCTGGGTGACAGAGCAAGACTCTGTCTAAGGAAAAAAAAAAAGAAAGAAAGAAAGAAATAACATATCAAATTTGCTCCAAAATAATACAGGAGAGAGGATATGTGTAAAACAAAATCAGGCCACATGCTGCTAATTGTTAAAGCTGGACAAAAAGTACATGGGGACTTATTACACTATTATCTCTACTTGTATGTATCTTTGAAATTTTTTTCATGTTAAAACATTTCTTTAAAAAAAAAGAGTATTATGAAAGTATCTGGTTTCTACGAAAAATGATTATTTTTCCAAAAGAGAGAAAAGACTGGCCCCCCTCTTTCTTGTATTTCCTCACCTCTCCAAATAATCTGCTCACATTTGTCACACTTAGACATGTGCTCCCGACCCAAACAGAAAAGAAAAAGTAACCAGAATTCTTGTAGCATCTGTTAGGTGCTAAATAAGTAGAAAGAGTTCTAGTTTAAAATGTGTGACATTCACTTGTGAAGACAGAGAAGCTGAGAGGGGACCCCGTCCTTTGTTAGATGCTGCTCTGCTCATTCTCCATGGCTCTTGGAAACAAGAGCCCAAAGAGAAACTGGTCCTCAAGAGACAGATCCAAGACTGAGCACAGGCTACGCCACAACCTCCACCAGCTGTGGGAAAAGACCATGTGGGGTGTGAATGGCAGCACCCAGCACTGTGCCTGCCGCGTGGTGGCGCTTTATAAATGTTTGAGAAGGGAGAGAGGAAGTTGATTTAGTGGGTTTAGTTTTTAATTGGGTCTGAATAAAAGGTGAGCTTTTGCAATATCCTCTAATCCCCCTCATATATCCTTGTTGCAGAAGGAAAAGTTGAGTGAGAATGTAATTGCCAAGACCCCTTAAAGTGACATTGGTCATAGCAAATGTAGCAGCTTCCTGCCTTACTAAGAACTTTTAGGACGTGCTGGGCTGACGCTGTCAGCTGCTGCTTTGTAAAAATAAGCCCTATAATTAGATTGCTACTCCTTATGAAGCCCACTCAAGTGCTATCCTTTATTTTTAACCTTTATCACAGTCCTCAAGACAGAGTGTGTAGGGCCTCGCCCACAGCTGCTGAGTCAAACCCCAGCAGGCTCCACCCTTCCTGCTCCCAGCTGCATTCCGCTAAAAAAAGGCCTGCCAGCAGCCTACGCAATGGAACGCGGGGTCTAAGCACACAGACGGTTGCAGGGAATCTAATATCCAGGCAGCACTGAGAAAGAACAGCTGCGCCAAATTTGAATCTTCTTTATTTACTCAGCCAGGCAGCTAACACACACAAATAACATTGTTTCATCTTGAATGCACAGAATTCACAACTGCCTTCTTAGCTCACTCCTGTTGCTCAACAATCCTTTTTTACACTTGCATGTTTAATGTAAATAACTTTCACAGAGTCTTCCACTTTCTCTGTATCGATATTACGAACCTGTTGGCATAGTTAGTTGAGACAATAAACATTTAATAATCTTGTGGGTCAGGAGTGGGAATGCCAGAGGAATGCTTATAGCAAAGTCAAGGGAAAGTATTATAGGGCAAAGGGATGTAATGGGGATTTCATTATATTTTGTTGCTTTCTTTTTTGTTGCTTATAACTTGGTATTCACATTCTCTAACAGATTCTTTGAAAAAGTGTGTGCATAGCAAATAGGGCTCCATTTAAATGGACACATTAGGGTGAAGGGTCTATAGAGTTGTTCACTGCAGGAATTAATGTCATACTCTGTCTGCACAAATAATTGTATTAGGTGACAGGCAATACCAACGTTTATATAATTTGTGCTATATATAGCAGATGTAACTCAGAGGCTGTGTACTTAATCCTATAAAAATCTCAACATAAGACACTCTTCCTCCAGTGCCCACAGATCCCACAAACCCTTTGCATTCTAATTAAAGCTCTGCTGGGGTTAAGGCTAATTGGTAATAAAACCCAGGCCTGTGAGAAAGCCTTTCTGTAAAACAAAGAATCCATTTGTCATGCAAATAAGCAGCCTCCAAAGTGGTAAATTTGAATTTTGAATGTTCACCTGTTATCTTAACATTTCTTAGAATGTGGTTCAGCCAGTAATTGCTAGATCATTATTTTCCAGTTTTCCTCATTGCCATCCTTCAAAGAGCTAAAGGGCATGTTATTTGTATTGTTAAATTAATATTTTGTTGTTGTAGACCTAAAGTAAATGAATCACTGTAGTTGTCTTTGGTTTTCTTTGGAGAATGTGTTTGCATTCTAAATATTTTCCAATACAATAATTTCTTTGAGAAAATTTGTCGGTTTCCTTAAATAATAATCTTCAGGTTAGGCTTGAAATTCAAAAGTATGGTGGTTCCTTCCTGATGAAGGTCCTTAAAGGTCTTTACACTCCATTCTTGAGGAAGTTTCTGGGCACTAGAGGGCGCTCTCAGCACACTGGGACGGGATTTGTTAGTTGCACAGAATTAAGAGCCATGCGCTGATTGTTGGGCCTTGGGCCCTGCTGGGGGCCCAAAATCAGCCTGCAGAAAGAAGCCACCTCCGTGAGCCTGCATTGGCTCTCAACTGCAAAGTGCCAATTCATCTGCCTTCAGTGAACCAACTGACCAAACCAACTGCTGAGCTTTCTCCCCCAGGGGAAAGGCTGGCTGCTACAAAGATTCTTTTTTACTCATTTCTGAATAAAATATTTCATGGTCAACAATTGTTTTCACATGCACTACCTTGCCTGCTGTCCTTCACTGACAACATTTCAGGGTCTCGCAAGGCATGGAATACAATGCATGTTCAGGACTGCAACCTGATGGTGATGTGTAATGAAGTTTAGTGTTGGATTTCGATCTTGGCCAAATGGTGACTCCTTGGTGACAGGTCATGTGCTTACTTCCTCAGCAGATGAGTTCTCCTCCAGCCTCACTTGTGACCAATGATGTATCATGAACACAGGCTGGTGCTGAAGCTCAGTATGTAGCCCCCTTGGCTAGAATACACACTTGATAATAGTAGCAAAGTGAAATCAGCAGAGTGTAGCAATGCCCTGAGAGGACCTAAAAGAACTGGGTGAAGGAGGCCTTAAGGATTGACAACTAATACCTAATGGCTAAGACCTAAGAGGGTAGAAGCAGAAGAGGTCCTCCACAATTAGCATTTGGCACGTAATAATGTGAAGCAAGACACATCACTTCCTAGTAATATGCTATAAACAGGTGATAAAGGGCGAGGGGTTGCTCCCCAGTGAGGAATCCAGTCCAAACCCAGAGACCAGCTCACAGCCACCCGAGTCCAAAACAACTAGATCTTTGTTAGACAATTGCCATCCAAACCAGAGTGTTATGAAATGAATTGTGTACCTCCACCCTTCAAATTCATATGTTGAAGTCCTAATCCCCAATGTATTTGTATTTAGAAACAGAGCCTTTATGGAAATAATTAAAGATAAATGAGTTCATAAGGGTAGGGCCCTAATCCAGTAGGACTGGTGACCTTATAGAAAGAGAACGAGACACCAAAGATCTCTCTCCACAAACGCACACAGATGAAAGGCCTTGTCTATGTGAGCACACAGTGAGAAGGTTGCCTTACTAGAAACCAACCCTGCTGGCACCCTGATCTTGGACTTCTAGACTCTAGAACTGTAAGAAAATAATGTCTGTTGTTTAAGCCACCCAGTCTGTGTACATTCTTTTATGGCAACCCAAGCAGACTAATAAACAAGAGGTTATGGCAACACTGACAAAATTCTTGAGGGATCTTTGAGGAATACAGAACTCTCCTGAAAAAAAAAAAATGAAGGAGCATTAAAAACCAGTTTTAGGTGTTTTACCTATAATCTACCTTGTTCATGTAAAAACGACAGCAATTTCTTAGGTAAATTTTGTGCAAATATCCCATTTCATCAAATCTAAGAAACCAATGCTTATAAGGCATTACTGTATTTGCTATTAAGAGAAGAAAAGTGACAATTGTTATGCTCCATGTATTGTAAGACAGTTTTTATTTCAAAGACGGTAAAATGTGAAAATATGTATGTATGTACATATACACATATACGTAACATATACATATACATCTTAGCATTGATTGGTAAGATTAACTCAATGTTTATTGACCCATTTGCCAGGAACTTTTTGCCTATACTAGACACTGGGAAAATAAAAATAAGCAAACAAGATGTCAAGTCTCAGGAGTACTAATTCACTAACCCTTTGAAGGCACAGAAATATAAATGTATTGTGGCAGTCCCCAAGACTCCTCGTATTACGCTGCCCTTTTAGGCCATCTAAAGTAGTCACAATAAGGAGTGTTGTCTCAAGTGCCCCAAACACAGTGTGCTCTTAATCTGAAATTTACTCATATACAGACTTGCAGTATAGTCTTAAGGGTGGCAGCTAGGTACAATAATTCTACCCCCGAACAAGGAATAAATAAGTAAACAAACATCTCTTAAGAAATTGACTCTTGGCCAGGCGAGATGGTTCACACCTGTAATCCCAGCACTTTGGGATGCCAGGGTTGGTGGAACTCTTGAGTCCAGGAGTTCCAAACCAGCCTGGGCAACATGGCGAAACCCTATCTCTACAAAAAATACAAAAAAAAAAAAATACTTGGCTATGGTGGCATGCACCTGTAGACCCAGCTACTAGGGAGGCAGAGGTGGGAGGATCACCTGAGCCTGGGGAGATCAAGGCTGCAGTGAGCTATGATCATGCCTCTGCACCCCAGCCTGGGCAACAAAGTGAGACTTCGTCTCAAAAAAAAATAAAAGAAACTGACTGACTCAACTTTCGATCCACCACAAAGACTTCCAAGTTGTTACGGGTTGAATTTTGTCCCCTCAAAATTCATACATTGAAGTCCTATCTCCCCAGTACCTCTGAATATGGCCTTATTTGGAAATAGGGTTGTTGCAGATGTAGTCAGTTAAGATGAGATCATATCCGAGTAAAATAGCCCCTAATTCAGTAAGGCTGGTGTCCTTATAAGGGGGAATTTGGACACAGGCATATGTAAAAGGAGAATGCCAAGTGAAGATGAGTTATGCTGCCACAAGCTACAGAATGCCAAAGATTACCAGCAAGCCACCCCAAAGCTAAGGGAGAAACATGAAACAGACTCTCCCTCACAGCCCTCAGAAGGAGCCAACCTGGCTAACACTTTGTTCTCACACCTCTAGCCACCAGAATCATAAGACACACTTTTCTGCAGTGTCATCTGCTCAGTTTGTGGTATTTTCTTACAGCATCCCTAGAAAACTAATGCACAGTTGTTTTAAATTACTTTACCTTCCCTTATATTTTCTTGTCTTGTATCTAATTAGGATATTACAAGTGCATGTTAACTGTTATTATGATGTAGGTGCTTTTTTGTCCCTATTGAACCTCATACAATTTATCCTAAAGCATTTTCTAAACTTCTTTTTACACGAAAGATCACTTAGGAGACCTGGCAGAAAAGTGAGCAAGTGAGACTGGTAAGTGAGCAATCAGTGGGTTAACCTTTCACCTTTTTCATCACCAAGTGCCAAATCAAAAGAAGATGCCAGTGAGGCATAGCATTGGAGTAGAGTGAACAATGGGTGCAAACAGATGAGAGTTCATGGATGTGCTGGGGAATGTGTTATCCACGTTACTTGGTAGTTTTCTAAAAGTTACCATTCAACATTTGGGAGGTTTGAGGGTCATGAAATGGGAGTGGCTACAAAAGTGTGCAAGGTATTCGATGCCATGGAGACCAAATGCCAGCAAAGACACTCCTCTGCAGAGGCCGGAACCATAATACCATCTGGGTAATTGAGATACAGTGTCTAAAGAGAATGGTGAATGTAACTGTGGATCACGCAGGATTTTAGTTGAGGAAATCTGATTTGGCAGACAGAAGAATATCCAGAGAAATTCTCAGTGTCAGATGTGCTCTTGACTGGGAGAGAAATCTAATGCCCCATGGGACAAAATAGTGAAACACTGAAGAAAGAAAGAGGATCACAGCCAAATGGCCTAGGATTCATCTCTGGTGAAAAACTGGAGTGCTGGGCATGAATAATACTGAGGTTCCACCTATGAGCTGGCCCATGAAAACAGGACAGGGGCAACCAATGGAAGGCTGAGGGGACTGCTGCAACTCTCAGCTTCGTGGTCACTCATGACCATATCTGATAGTCCTGATCCTATCTTGCTGGTAAGCAGTAAAGCCAAGTCTTTTGGACAATGGCATCAAAAACCCCTATATAGATGGACCCAGAAAGTGATGGGAGACAGGCTTTACCTACTAGAGATACTCATCAATAGATATGACCCAGAGAGCTGGAAAAGAACAAAAGGAGCAAATAAGAACATTCTAAAACTTACTAAATAACTGAGCTATTTATTAGTTTACGCTCTGGACTGAATTGTGTCCTCCCAAAGTTCATGTGTTGCACTCCTAACCCCCAGTGTGGCTGTATTTGGTGTAAGGATGTAACTGATGTTAAATGGGATCATAAAGGTAGACCCCAATGAAATAGGATTAGTGTCCTTATAAGAGGAGACACCAGCGAGCTTACTCTCTCTCCCTGCCGCATGAGCACACATCTACAAGGCAGGAAGGAGCCCTCACTAGGAACTAACTGGCCAATACCTTGATCTTGAACCTGTCAGCATCCAAACCTGTGAAAAAATAAATTTCTATTTCTGTTGTTTAAAACACCTTGTCTATGGTATTTTGTTATGGCAGCCCAAGCCAACTAATACAGTATGCAATCAATTTAAAATTTCTTATTAACAGCTATATTCAATAAAAGTTAATCTACCTCTGAGGAAAGTTTTTTAAAGATTAATAGTTGCTTATGAAAGAAAAACTGTAGTCAATTATTTGTTGCATCCTACCTTTAATATAATGAGACATAAAAGCTTTACCCATGAATGTCATTTAGTGTCCTTTCCTCATTTTCAAAGTAGTTTATTGTTTAGAAAACAGAAAAGAAAACCTAGTACACATCCATAGCTATTTCTCAGGAAACATTCTCAGAAGTAGAATTACTAAGTTAAAGACTATGCATATTTTAAAGCTACTTGATAAATATTTCCCAAGTATCCACCAAAAAGGTTGAACCAATTTACACTCCACAAAGGAGCAGAGAAGAACATCTATTTCCATGTACTCATGCCACCTCTGAATTTCATTTTAAATTTTATGTCTTAGTTTGTTATCTCCCAGAAGCAGACACTGAGACAAGGATTCAAGTGCAGGCAGTTTATCTGAGTAATACAGAAATACAGAGGGATGGATATGGGTAAGAAGTAACCAGAAGCGAAGGCAGCCAATAAAGGGTGCATTACTAAGCCACCTATCACAGTGGGCAACTGGAACTTAATCTTGCAGAGAAACTCTGGGAAATAATACAAAATGCCCCAGCATTATCCCACCTAAAGGGCTAAGGTCTTACATGACAACTCCAAAAGTCATTAAGTGAGGGCTACCATTTTGTTTTGTTTTGTTTTGAGACGGAGTCTTACTCTGTCACCTAGGCTGGAGTGCAGTGGCATGATCTTGGCTCACTGCAACCTCTCCCTCCCGGGTTCAAGCAACTCTCCTGCCTCAGCCTCCTGTGTAGCTGGGATTACAGGCACCTGCCACCACACCTGGCTAATTTTTGTATTTTTAGTAGAGGTGGGGTTTCACCATCTTGGCCAGGCTGGTCTTGAATTCCTGACCTCATGATCCACCTGCCTTGTCCTCCCAAAGTGCTGGGATTACAGGTGTGAGCCACTGCCAAGTGAGGGCTACTTAAGGAAAAGGGCACAGGGCCTTCAGCATTTTTTTTTAAGCCCTCAGGCATGGAGTTGCAAATACTGCCCTTAGAAATCTAATGGGGAGCGCTGAAATGTCCAGAAATGTGTCCCAGCGCTGATGGCATCTGGTACACTTTGTCAACTTGATAGGGATAAAATGATAGGTTTCTGTGTAGTGAAGAATTAACTTAGGGCTTTTGGCTACCGGGAGGTGATCTCTAGGCCCCTGGAATGCCCAGCGTGTTATGAGTATCTTTGTTGGCCTGAGGGCTTTGGCCACCAGTCTAGAGATGTGATTTATGGTGAGGGCTTTGACCCTCTGGACATCAAAGGCTCAGGTGAGCATCACTGGTTGGCAGTATTCTGTATGTATTGTCACACATCGTAACCAGGAGGTAACACAATCCATGACTCTGTAGAGAGAGGAAGATGGGAAGCCCTGTGCATGGACCCCTCCAGGCTCTGCCCTATGTCGCTTCCCTCTGCTGATTTTATTATCTGTGTCCTTTTGCTATAATAAAATTGTAAGCATAATAAAACTGCTTTCCTGAGTACTGTGTGTCATTCTTGTGAATTACCCAACCTGAGGGTGGCCAGACAAGGTCTCTCGGCTTTTTCTTTTTTAAGTACTTTAACTTTGTTAATTTTTTTGTTGTAAATAGCTTATTATTAATTATTTGCTTATTAATTTAGTTTGTAGCTTTAAGTTATTATATAACCAGTTCTATCAGTCTTTTCCTTTACAGCTTTTCTGTACTTACAAAGGTCTTTCTCACTACAAAATTATATAGGCATTCATCTTTATTTTCAAGTTTTTTAGTGTCCTTCTCCCACATTTAACTAATTCCATTTGGAATTTGTTTTCTTGTACTCTTTTAGGTAAAAATCTATTGTTACTTTTTCCCAAACTGATTCTCAATTGACCCAAAACCACCTTTTGCCTCACTGTATTTTTCTTCATTTTTATCACATGCTAAATTCCCACATACACTAGGGTTCATATGTGGTCACTCTATTCTGTTCCATCTATATACAGTCCATCACTCTTGTCTTCAGATTCTGTGGGTTTATAATACATATTAATATCCCATTGCAAACATTTTTCCTACTTATTGTTCCTATTCAAAATATTCTTAGTTTTCTTATTCTTCCATCATAAAATTTTCTGCACCCCAAGAAAATGTTTTACTCAGAACATAAAAGAAAAATTAAAATCACATCATCAATTCCCATCACACCTGCCCCTCCCCAATAAAATCCCACTAGAATTTTTTATTGGAATTGCACTAAACTTAAATATTAATTTGGGAAAATTTGTATACCTACAAAACTGAATCTTTCCATTCAGAAACATGGTATGTCCCCCAGTAAAAACAAATACATTTTTATCCTAGTACTTCTATTTCTTTAATTAAACCCTGACTAAATTAGAGAGTATCTAGGTAGAAGACTCACATTGTCCACCAAAGTCTACCATGGGTTAATTTTGTTTCAAAAACATTAAAACCTATACAACATGAAAAAAATAAATAAATACATTTTATAAATTGTTTTAAGTTGGCATCCTTCATACAGGTCTAGCAAGTTTCTTGTTAACTTCAAGGAAATAGCATTTTTATGGCTCTTAATACACACTGCTCCAGGAAATTTCCACTTCCACCAGCATCATATAAGACTGAATGGGTCCCCCTGAAAATTTGAGCTGATTAAAAAGTATCTCACTGTAGATTTAAAGTGTACTTCTTTGACCACATATATTTATCAGCTGATTGTATTTTTTTCTTTGTGAACTGTATCTTTTGCTTATTTTCTATACTTCGACTTACCAAGTAGAAGTATTTTTCTCAATAGGTCATTTGCCTCTTAATTTTATTATATTTTCTGATATATAGAATTAAAAAGCTTTCCATACTGGCAAATCTCTTCTTTGTGGTTTCTTCAGTGGCATTTATGCTTAGTGAGTCTTACAATTCAAAGATCATGTAATATTTGTGTATATTTTCTTCTATTTATTTATATGTTCTACTTGTTTTATATCTCATGCTTAAGGTCTGAAGAAAGCTGAAAGATCAGTCTTATCCAAGCTCATGTGTAACACAGACTGAGTAAAAGTCCAAGGTCATCTGCCTCCAAGTTCAGAGCTCTTTGCACAACTTTCATTTAGCATGTATCTTCATGTACCCACCATGTGGCAAATAAATGAGGCTTCAGAGAGTAACATAAAGCACAACCCTCATCTAAAGAAGTTAAATAATTGCACCTATAAAACAATCTGAGACTGCCCCACCCCATCAATACAAGCTGAGTGAGTGACAAGCTACGTGCAGAGAGAGAGGAGAGCTCTGTATGCCAACGGCCAGAAGCTGTCATGGAAGGTAGATCTGAGTTCTGCAGATCCAGTCCTGGAGGAGTAGATTGAGTTCACTGTATCCCAGCTGAGCATATCTCTTCAACTTTCACTGATGAAGACATTTCAGAACAAAGAGCTTCTTTCCTAATCAACCACACAATGTACATGCAAATGTCTTACATTGTTACAGTCAGCAGAACTCCTCGCTCCAATTATTTCATGATCAGTCTTGTTTCTTTCTTCTGTTCTGCTATTTACTACCTATAATGGTCAATTCCTAATGACTCAGCAGCACACAAAATGTTTCTTCTCCAGAATCCCCAACATCTCAAAATTAGACTCTGCCATAGTGAGCACAGCTACTGTCCTTTGGATACCACACTAGCAGCCCAGCCTCTGCCCACCTGCAGCAGGGGTTCAGGGGGCACCAGTGGCTCTGCCTTACTGACTCTTATCAGAGAGTGAATGCCCTGAGTGGCAGCCTGTGGCCTCAATCCTGCTATCCCTCACAGAAGTCAGGAGGAAAGGGACAATTGAAGGAAAGAAGAGAAGAAAGTTGTATGTGACAAGAAGCTAAATAACACCAAGTATTGCTATAGGTGCCAGTCAGTGACACCAGGGACACAGGCTGTCTAAGTCAACTGGAAAGGCCACTGAATCTTCTGCAGGCTTGCTTGTGACCAGAAGGCCGCATGATCCCTCCCCTCCTGCCACCACCAAACACAAAATTTCTAAACAATTCATCAAGCCTACCCTCCTCCAAAATTCAGAGGCTTGGGGGGAAGGTTGTTTGCTGCCAAAAGATCTAACAGAAGAAAGCTTACATGCTGATCAAGTTTTAATAACGTGGTTAACAAGAAATGTACACCATTTAGCAAGCACACAAAGACTGTGGGTAGGAACTACTGAACCCTGGAGTGTCTGGCTCCCAAGCCCATTTTCTGCCTACCTTTGGCATAGCTTCATAGTTACTACATTCAGAGAATCCCTTTCTACCCTTATTCTATTGAAAGGATGTGCTCTTCCCTTGCTTTTGGTCTAGGGCCTGGTTGGAGCTAACTAGGCTTGGCTGAGTCTGGGAAAGACCTTCTTCCGTTGCATGGACAAGCCCCAGAGAACATGCAGAACATCGACCTTTACACTGTCTGTCTTTCAGGCAGCCAGTGAAATCACTATGTGGGGATCTTCCATGACATATTTTGTTAATATGGGTTTCACTTTTTCCAAGAATAGTCCCTTGTTGCCACAATGTTGATTTACTTTATACAATGACAGTATGTATTAATTTCTAATTAAACCCATCCAGATTGTTTTAGCCTTTTCCCAATGGGGTGGGGGAGGGAAGAATAATATTAAAATAAGTTTTAAGAAGTAAAAAAGAAAAAAAAACCTACCCTCCTCCTGGGTGAGAAACACAGTTCTGTCCATGCTTAATTCCACCTTGCTTGAAGATGATGCTGTTCTTCCACACTATAGAAAACTATATTATCTGACAGCAGAAGCTTCAAACCAGAATATAACTTTCATTCTGGTGGATAACTCATCCCCTTTCTTATTCATATAAGAACCAAGCACTTTGGTCAAAGCAGTTAAACAGTAAATCAGTGAAGCCTCTTGTTGAATCATCTTTTCTCATTTTATTTGCTTGCATTGTGTGATCCTCATACCAGCTCCTACGTAGACTAAAAATAGGTTTATTTTTTAATAAGATGCAATATCTAGACATTATGAAATGACACATTCTCAATCTTTCCTAAAAATAATTAATGCAATCTGTAAGGTTTAAAATCCATCAAAGCAAAATACAGGCTATACATATTAATACAATCTAATATTAATCACTAAATTTCTAAATCTTTAGTTCTAAGTAATTTTGTCGCAAGGTGAAGATGTTTAAAATCCCAGTAGAAAATATTCTGATTGTCAAAAATAGACAATAAAGATGGAAATAAAAATAAAAGCTTAGAATATTATTGTTACTAAACCTCTGAGTGCAGTCAGAGCAGGGGTAACCTCCTCTCAGGGCCTGTGCCCAAGGAAACCAAAACAGTTCAACTCCAACCACCACACTCACCCCAAAGCCCAGCAGGCTCCTCATCTTCCATTCCACAGTCCACTTTTTTCTCCTATCCACCCTCTCCAAACTTTTCCTCCCTACTTGCTTCTTTTACTTCTCACCCTTTTCTTCTTTTTCATCCTTTTTCCCCTCCCTTCTCTTTGCTTTTCCTAGTTTCTACCTCAATCTCACTTCCTCTCCTTCCTTATAGCTCCCCTCCCTTACCATTGCTCAAGCCCTATAATCCCAGCACTTTGGGAGGCCAAGGTGGGCGGATTGCCTGAGCTCAAGAGTTTGAGACCAGCCTGGCCAACATGGTGAAATCCCATCTCCACTAAAAATACAAAAAATTAGCGAGGCATGATGGTGTGCACCTGTAGTCCCAGCTACTAGGGAGGCTGAAGCATGAGAATCACTTGAACCCGGGAGGTGGAGGTTGCACTGAGCCAAGATTGAGCCACTGCACTCCAGCCTGGGTGACAGAGCGAGACTCTGTCTCAAAAAAAAATTAAGTCCAAAGATCAGTTGTTATTACTTGTTTTCAGAAGTCTTAGTTTTCATTTTTAAAGTGGGCGCTTTAAACAGTGTCTGGTTTTCACTCTAAAAGGGAATTTATTTGTGTATAGGTGAACAAGAATGTGTGTTTGCATACTTGTGTTTCTGATGTTCCCCATGGTGTGGAGAGAGTAGTCACATTTTACCTCCACCCAAAGAACGTATGCTTAACTCTCCAGGGTGAAGGGCAAGGCAAAAACTAACACCCATTCCTCAGGACAGGACTGGTGAGGTCTTACCAGGTTTGCTGACGAAGGTCTCATCCATCTTTCACATGAGGTGGCTCCAAAAAGGTGGATCAAAATGCTGAAGTTCCCAACTGCTCCAAAGCAGGGCTGGAGAGTGAATTTTGAGTAACAGCCTGGTAAACTGAGGAATAAGAAGCCAATGTTGTGCTGGTAATGTTTAATAACTGGATCTGGGTTGGGAGGAGAGTGATGAAAAACCTGAGTTGTAGTATTTTCTGCTTTCTATGGTGTAAATGCTCTTACCCTGACCGATTTCAAGCTCCCCCTGTGAAATAACTGAATGCTGAGTTGGGAGTAAATGCACAGTAAGTCCACGTTCTATAGTATAGTATTCCCACCACACAGACCAGGACCGCCAGGATCAGACCTTCATTCAGGAAAAACAGGTCATGTCCTGATGGAGTTCAAGAGTATCCAAGTGATCCTGCTCCCCCAACTCCTCCCCAGAACCCCTTCAAAACAAAACCAAATGCAACACCTCTCCCACATACCTAAGAATTTCAATCATTTGCTTCTAAAACTTCTTTGTTGCCTTTAAAATGAAAATGTCCCTGAGAAATCTAATCCACTCGGGTTTTTTTGTTTGTTTGGTTTTCGGTTTTTGGTTTTTCGTTTTTGTTTTTGTTTTTTTTTTTTTTTTGAGACAGAGTCTCGCTTTGTCGTCCAGGCTGGAGTGCAGTGATGCAATCTCAACTCACTGCAACCTTCGCCTCCCTGGGTTCAAGTGATTCTCCTGCCTCAGCCTCCTGAGTAGCTGGGATTACAGGCACCCGCCACCATGCCTGGCTAATTTTTGTATTTTTAGTACAGACGGGGTTTCACCATGTTGGTCAGGCTGGTCTCGAACTCCTGAACTCGTGATCTGCTCGCCTCGGCCTCCCAAAGTTCTGGGATTACAGGTGTGAGCCACTGTGCCCGGCCTAATTTTTGTATTTTTAGTAGAGACGGAGTTTCACCACGTTGGCCTGGCTGGTCTCAAACTCCTGACCTCAGGTGATCCACCTGCCTCACCCTCCCAAAGTGCTGGGATTACAGATGTTAGCCACCATGCCAGGCCACTCAGTTTTACAACATTTATATTTCAGAATATGTAAGTCTAACAGATCCTTGCCAGACAGTGAGCCTTGAGATGGGCAGGAAAGAAGGTGAGCAACATGTGGGCACTATTAGGGTCCATTTTGCCTCTTCCCTTTGGGGCAGTACCGCTGGCCATGTATATCAAATTGAAAACAGATTAAATGTGGTTATGCAGAAAAGATGAGAAAGAATAAGTCAGAAACTTTTAAATGCCATCTAAGGATTCTATGGCTGAAAGTATGAGAAGCCAGAACAATGTTGTTTTTTAAAGGAGAAAAATACATTATTATTTTAATAATAAAATGAACTGCTAATAAGAAATTGATAATAGCTTGAAAACAACCTAGATAATGGTTAAATAAATTTTGATACTCACATACATGCATACAATGATTACAATGGAATCCTCATGCAGTCAATGGAATATAATGCAGCCATTTAAAATGATAAAATATTTCTATATTTGATATGACAAGATTTTCAAGATATATTATTAAGGGAAGAAATATTATACAATAGTAGATGTAAAAATGTCCTATTTTCGAAGAAAGATAGATGTAGATATAGATAGCGATTGATATAGATATAAATAGACACATATTTATACACACACACCCTCAGGCTCTTGACTCCAGGACCTCTCTCCCCCGTAAAGTCACCCCTAATTCTTTTTTGGAGTCTTCATGGGTTACTTCTAATAACTTGCTCATTGTTTTTCCTTCATGTTCCTCCACTTTGGTCCTCTCTTCACCCTTGCTCCACCAATATCATAGTTACTGGTAGAATGCTAGTTCCCAACACAAGGCACTGTTTTCTAGAACTCCCTGATGCTACAAAACTGATGCAGTGGAGTTCACTTCAGTGCTGACTGTGCTGCAGTCCTGCTATGTTCTGATTGAAATGTAGAGAAAGCCCCTTTCCAACTCTTGTTTTCTTTGTCATCTAAGCCATTAGCCTATAGTCTTTGTTGCCACAGAGGCCTAAGATTTAGTCTACAGAACAGGGTGAGCTCTTTGGGAAATCAGAAGAAAAGGGACAGGAAGACACAAAACACAACACTACCAAATTCTTTCCATTCCCCAATTTTGTTCACCAGGAGATTCCACTTCAAGCCTTGTCCAAATACCAAAATCGAAACCATTTATTTAAATCAACCTTTGCATACCAACACCCACTCCACCCGACCCCTTTCTCCAACACAGCAAGGCTGTGATCCCAGATCAGGCTCAACTATTCCCCACCCAAACCAACCAAGCAGCCTGCAAACACACACACAAACACACACACACGTATCTGTACACATACTCTGAACTAAAACCAGTATTTACTTCTAGATGGTAGGATGATGAGTGCTTTTTTTTCTTATTATTTACATTTTCTGTTTTTTTCGTACAAAAAGTTTGGATAATTTATAAAATGTTCTAATATAAATTTTAAATTTTCACTCAAGATCACACACATAACATTAAGTGCTTCTCTTTGGATAGTCAGGTTTTGGGAAATTCTGGGTTTTTTTTTTAATTTTTTGAAAACTTTCAAATTTTCTGTAATGATTATAATCCCTTTAAAGGAAAACATATACCTTCATTTTTCTAATACATAAAACTGACTCTTTCAGGGAAAAGAAAATTTAAAAGGGAAGGGACTGGTTCTTAGAGGTAATAACTGAACTTCTGGTAAAGGATAAGATCCTTTCAGAGAGAATAAGTATTGGTAGGCTGGCTGGTAGAAGAGAAAGGGGTGGGAGAAGAGAAGAATGAATCAGAGGCTAAATAAATGAACTGGGAAGGAAGAGGAAGATTGCTTATGAAGAGCATACAAAAGACAGATGACAGGAGTGGTTGCACACTGTCACCTGCATTCTAGAGGTAAACTAGGTTTGCTATGGTTAGCTTCAAAGTGAGGTTCTTGAATTGTATTCCTCCTAAACAGGCTTTACCCGCTCAGCCAGCAAATGAAAGCCACAAGTAAAAATACCTGAAGTGACAGATGTGGTCTTTAAAGGGATAGTCATGGTTTCTACTTCAAAGAATAAAAGGATAGGATTAGTGTCAGTCATTGTATCTTGAGAGAGGTAGTACAGATAGAAGTGAAAAAAGAATATAAAAGAAAGTACAGTCAAGAGTGAATTCAATAAAGCCTACCTCTTCTGCTGATTACAGCTAAAAACTCTGGACAAAATACAAAAAACAACTACCTAAGGACTCTGAAAGGTAAAGAAATGCAGTCAGATTATGAAGAGAAGTCAAAAACTGAAACAGCAATTTGCACAGGATTAAGTTTCTCATTTTATTTCCTCTTTCTTTTCACAGGCTTTGGCTGAAAGCAATCACACAAATGAGCTGCGATGGGGGTGCTGCAGACAGCTAATACTTTCAGATAAATCCCTTCTGTCTAGAAAGAAGGCTGGGATCCTTTAAGCTGAAGAACATAGAAAGGAATCCTTGCATTCTCATTCCCTCCCCCATTTTCACAGCTTGCCTAGCAGAGCCAGGGTGAAAAGTAGCATGGTCGGCTAAAATCCCAATAGAAATTCTGTTTTTCTAGTTAAACAAACAGAAAAGGGCTCCTGTGGTCCAGAGAGTACTGGAGTAAGTCAGTAGGTAAATTTTCTCTCTCTTTTTTCCATCTCCACATAGCACCCAAAATGGTCCTGGTCACAGGACCTGGTAGCAACACAGGCAGCCAAAACTCCAAAAGAACCCCGGTCTATTGAGCCAGAGGATGAGGAATAGAAAACATATAGGTAGGTGACTATGGGGAGTCCCGGAGATAAGAGATTAGAGAAATGGATCTCCTAACTCTGTGTATGACCTAGCACAGGCCCAGGCTTAACCCTGAGCTGTGCATGCATGGAACATACTCAAAGCTGCCAAGTAGAGGTTCCGAAAACTGAGATAACATTGGAAGTATCACTCATAAAGTACAGATAGTCTGAACAAAACCAGTGTGATTACCTACTCAAATAAGCAAACAATCTTCCAAATCTCTTGAGGATTTTAATGAAAAACATCCAAATTAAATACTCAGAATGTCCAGGATACAATCTAAAATCACTCAGCGTACAAAGAACCAATAAAAGTTTACTAATTTGCATGAAAAGTACAGTCAATAAATGCTACCACTGAGAAGACCAAGATGGTAGAATAATCAGGCACAGATTTTAAGGCAACTATCGTAACTATGCTCCACAAAGTAAAGATAAACACTCTTGAACAAAGGGAAAAAAACAGAAATTATTGGCAGAATAATAGAAACTATAAAAAAAAAGAACCATCTTACAAAATTAAGCATATTTTTAACATACAATCCAGCAATCACATCCCTTGGCATTTATTCAAATGAGTTAAAAACATATGTCCACACAAAAACCTGCACATGGATGTACATAGTGACTTTATTCATAACTGCCAAAACCTTGAAGCAGCCAAGACTGTCCTTCAGTAAGTGAATGAATAAATAAACTGTGTGTAATGGTTAATACTGAGTGTCAACTTGATTGAATTGAAGGATGCAAAGTATTGTTCCTGGGTGTGTCTGTGAGGGTGTTGCCAAAGAAGATTAACATTCGAGTCAGTGGACTGGGAGAGGCAGACCCCCCCTCAATCTGGGTGGGCACCATCTAATCAGCTGCCAGTACAGCTATAAAGGCATGCAGGAGAAGATGGAAAAGTAGACTTGCTCGGTCTTCTGGCCTTCATCTTTCTCCCCTGCTGGATGCTTCATGCCCTCAAACAATAAATTCCAAGTTCTTCAGCTTTTGGACTCTTGGACTTACACCAGTGTTTTGCCAAGGGCTCTCAGACCTTCAGCTGCAGACAAGGCTGCACTGTTGGCTTCCCTACTTTTGAGGTTTTGGGACTTGGACTGGCTTCCTTGCTCCTCAGCTTGTAGATAGCTTATTGAGTGACTTTGCCTTGTGATAATGTGAGTCAATACTCCCTAATAAACTCCCCTTCATATATACATCTATCCTATTAGTTCTGTCCCTCCACGGAGCCCTGACTAATACACTGTGGTATATCCATACAATGGAACATTATTCAGTTCTAAAAGGAATGAGCTATCAAGGCATGAAAATACAAGGAAGAAACTTAAATACATGTTATTAAGTTAAAGAAGCCAATCTGAAAGGATTATATATTGTATGATTCCTACTATGCGATATTCTGGAAAAGGCAAAAGTATAGAAACAGTAAAAAAGTCAGTGATTGCCAGAGTTTAGCAGGGAAGGAGAGATGAATATGCAGAATATAGACAATTTTTACAGCAGTGAAACTATTCTGTATGATACTATAATGGTGGCTATATGTCATTATAGATTTGTTCAAACCCACAGAATCTGCAACACCAAGAATAAACCCCTTATGTAAATTATGGACTTTGGGTGATAGTGAGGTTTCAGTATAGGTTCATCACCCGTAACAAAGGTACCACTCTGGTACCAGATGTTGACAGTGTGGGAGGTTGTGCATGTGTAGGGGTAGAGGGCATATGGGAACTCTCTGTACTTTTCACTCAATTTGTCTGTGAACCCACAACTGCTCTAAAAATAGTCTTTTTAAAGATTTTTTTAAAGAATGAAATGGAAATTTTAGAAGTGAAAAAAATACACTGTGTGAAGTTAAGAAATCAATTGATGGGTTCGACAGCAAAATACAGAAAAAAGAAAAAAAGAGTCAGCAAACATAGTGAGACATCAATAGAAAGGGAAAACAGAGGAATTAAAGACAGAGGAGACAACTAGAAAATCAATAATAAAATAAATTCAAACATATCAATAATTACATTAAATATAAATTATCTAAGCACACCAATTAAAACATCGAGTTTGTCAAATTTGATTAAAAATAAATAAGACCTAACTATCTACAAGAAACCTACTTTAAAAATAAAGACATAGATGGGAATAGAAGTAATAAGATGAAAGAAGAGATACCATACAAACACTAATCGAAAGAAAAAATGTAGTGGCTATATTAATATCAAAGTAGATTTCAAAGCAAGAAATACTACTAAAGATAAACAGAGATATTGCATAATGGGATAAGGTTCAATTAATCAAGAAAACATAACAATCTTAAATGTACACACCTATTAAGAGAAGTTCCAAAAACTTAAAACAGAAACAGAAATGAGAACTAGATAAATCCACAACCATAGTTGGAGACTTTGACTTTCCTCTCACAGTAATTGATAGAAGTAGACAGAAAATCAGTACCAACAGATGAGACCCAAACAACGTTATGTCCAGTTGACATAATTTACCTTTATAAAACACTCTACCCAACAAAGGTAGAAAACTTTTTTTTTCAAACACACATGGAATATTCACCATGCTAAACCATATTCTGGACCATAAAACAAACTTTCACAAATTTGGAATAACTGAAGTCATACAAAGAATCTTTTTCATGCGCGTCCATGTGAAGAGACCACCAAATAGGCTTTGTGTGAGCAATAAAGCTTTTAACCACCTGGGTGCAGGTGGGCTGAGTCCGAAAAGAGAGTCAGAGAAGGGAGATAGGGGTGGGGCCATTTTATAAGATTTGGGTAGGTAAAGGAAAATTACAGTCAAAGGAGGTTTGTTCTCTAGCGGATGGGAGTGGGGGTCACAAGGTGCTCAGTGGGGGAGCTTTTTGAGCCAGGATGAGCCAGGAAAAGGACTTTCACAAGGTAATGTCATCACTTAAGGCAAGGACTGGCCATTTACACTTCTTTTGTGGTGGAATGTCATCAGTTAAGGCGGGGCAGGGCATTTTCACTTCTTTTGTGATTCTTCAGTTACTTCAGGCCATCTGGGCGTATAAGTGCAAGTCACAGGGGATGCGATGGCTTGGCTTGGGCTCAGAGGCCTGACAATCTTCTTGAACCATAATGGAACTAAGTTAAAAATTAATAAAAGAAACATATCTAGTAAATCTCCAAATATTTGGAAACCAACCGATAAAGTTTGGATGTGTGTCTCCACCAAAATCTCATATTCAAATGTAATCCCCAATGTTAGAAGTGGGGCCTGGTGGGAGGTGATTGGCTCATGGGGGTGGATTTTTCATGAATCGCTTAGCATCATCCTCTTGGTACTGTCCTCACAATAGTGAGTGAGTTCTTGTGAGATCTGCTCATTTAAAAGTGTGTGGCACCTCCCCCTACTCCTGCTCCTGCTCTCACCATGTGGTGTTCCCACTCCTGGCTTCACCTGCCATGATTGTAAGCTTCCTGAGGCCTCTTCTGAAGCTGATGCCAGAGCTGTTTCCTGAACAGCCTACAGAACCATAAGTCAATTAAACCTCTTTTCTTTACAAATTACCCTGTCTCAGGTATTTCTCTTTTCTTCTTTCTTTCTTTTTTTTTTTTTCTTGTGTGTGACAGACAGTCTTGCTCTATTACCCAGGCTGGAGTGCAGTGGCACAATCTCAGCTCATTGCAACCTCCATCTTCCTGGCTCAAAGAATCCTCCCACCTTAGTCTCCAGAGTATCTGGGACTACAAGCATGCACCACCACACCCAGCTAATTTTTTAATTTTTTGTAGAGACGGGGTTTTGCCATGTTGCTGAGGCTAGTCTCAAGCATCTGCCTACTTCAGTCTCTCAAAGTGCTAGGATTACAGACATGAGCCACCGTGCCTGGCCTCAGGCATTTCTTTATAACAATGCAAGCACGGACTAATACACCAACATACTTCTGGATTACCCATGGGCCAAAAGGAAAGCCACAAAGGAATTTAGAAAAGTAAATGAAAGAGAAAATGCAACATATCAAAATTTGCAGAAGGCATTTAAAACGGTGATTTAGAGAAATTTATAAATGCTTATATTGGAAAAGAACAACATCTCAAATCAAGGATCTAAGCTTGCAAGTGACAAAACTAGAAAAAGAACAGAATAAACCCAAAGTAAGTAGAAGGAAGGAAAGTATTATTAGAAGACCAGAACTCAAATAAATTGGAAACAGAAAAACAATAGAGAAAATTAATGAAACTAAAAGTTGATTATTTTAAAAGTTCAGCACAATTGATAAACCTCTAGCCTGGATGACCAAGAAAAATAAGATGCAAATTAGAAACATCAGAAATGAGAGAAGAAACATCACTATTAACCCCACAGACCTTAAGAGGATAACAAGGGAACAGTACTATGAAAAGCTGTTTGTAAATTTGACAAAATGCACTAATTTTTAAAATTAAAAAAAATTACCAAATTCATTCAGGAAGAAAAAAGTTTATGTTAAAGCAATGATTTATTTCATATATATGTATGTATAACTTTTAAATTGAATTTGTAGTTTAAACCTTCCAAAAAGAATTCTCTAGGCCCCAGTGGTTTCACTGATGAAGTTTACCAAACATTGTGGAAGAAATAATAATTTTACATAATCTCTTCCAGATAAAGAAGAGGAAGGAACACTTCTCAATTGATTTTATGAGATTGGCATTACCCAATAAAACCAAAGACATTACAATTAAGAAAATGTCAACCCAATATCCTTTAAGAGCACAGACACAAAAATCTTATAAAATATTATCAAATTGAATCCAAAAATATATTTAAAAGATATTAATAATATGGCATGATCAAGTGGGGCTTATCCCCAGAATGCAAGGCTCACTCAACATTTGAAAAGCCATCAATGTAATTCACCACGTCAACAGTCTAAAAAAGAATAATCACATGAATATCTTATTGGATGAAGAAAAAGTTTAGAATAAATTCAGTAATCACTTCATGATAAAAAAAAAAAAAAAAAAAAAAAACTCCAGCAAACAAGAAAGAGTAGGGAACTTCCTTAAACTAATAAAAGGCATCTATGAAAAACCTACATCTAACTTTATACTTCATGATGAAAGACTAATGCTTTCCCCCTAAGACTGGGAAGAAAAAGTTGTCCTCTCTTGACACATTCGACAGTGTACTGAAAGTGCTAGCCAGTGTAATAAGGCAATAAAAAGAAGTAAAGGATATAAATATTGGAAGGGAAAAAGCAAAAATATATTTATTCATACATAGATAACATGTTCATGTAGAACATTTCATTGAATCTACAAAAAGCTTTTAAACTAGTAAGTGAATTAGCAAGGTGCCAGCATATGTACAAGTCAATATAAAAAAGTTAATTATATTCCGATATACCAGCAATGAATAATTGAAATCTGAATTTTTTTCAAAAATACCACTTATAATAGCACCAAAAATAAGGAAAATATTTAGTTATAAACAATAAAATATGTGCACAATCAATTTGCTGAATACAAAAGATTGATGAAAAAGTCAAAGAAGATATAAATAAATGTGGAGATACAGTATTCATGGATAAGGAAAATTCAATATTGTTAAAATGTAAATTCTCCTAATCTACAGAGTTAATGCAATTCCAATTGAAAATCCAAAGGATTTTTGTAGGTTTTTTTGTAGATTTAGACAATTAAAATTTTATATGGAAAACCAAAATAACCAGATTAGCCAAAAGAAAGAAAACAAAACATAACATTAGAGGTGTCATACTACCTGATTTCAAGACTTTATAGTAGTCAAGATCATGTGGGATTGGCAAAGGAAAAGATAAATCAATGAAATAGAATTGACAGTCCAGAAATAAACCTTTGTATTTATGGTCAATTGATTTCTTTAAAGATGTAAAAGGAATTCAGTGGAGAAATTATGGTATTTTTAACAAATGATACTGGAACATTTGGACATTCAGATGCACATAAATTCATACATACATATACACACAATACATGCATACATACACACATACATACATATGAAGAATAAGCCTAAACTATATGTCACACCTTATACAAAATGAACTCAAAATGGATCATAGACTATAAAGTCTAAAGCTAATAAACTTGTAGAAAAAGAAACTATCTTGCCCTTCCGTGTCTTTTAAGAAGTCTTTTCTTTTTTTACCCCCTTGAAAACCCTGTAATTGCCTCACCTGGAGCTGATGCCTCACAAAAGAGAGGATGCCCACTCTCCTCAAAATCTACCCCAAACACTTCTTATTGCCACTAGACCCATAACTAGAGTCCAATTTCAACATGTTCCAGCAGCCTGGAAGTGGCAGCAGGTCTCTGAGTATAACTGTGGCACTGAGCCCAGGTTCCCAGATTTGTCTCGTTCCACTTGCTCTGCAGAGTATGAGCCAATATAAACTAAAAGTGATGTCTTTACTAAACACCTGTTACGAAACAGCCTGAGGTGTAGATATCTCTCATCTCTGGCCTTGTTTTCAGCATTTTTCCTCCTTGGATCAACAGTTTCTGATACCAGGTTAGGTTACAAGGCTGGAATAAAAAAACAAACCCCAGCTTGGAAAGGAAGGTGAATAAGGTAGTCACTCTTACTTGTTTGTTCTCACAGAATTTGTCCACCTGACTATTGAAATACCCAGTCTAGCTTCTTAGTTTTTATTCATGGCTGTTGGTATTTATTAAGTAAGCATTAACAGACTTATTGGGCAAGTAAAACATAATGTGCTAGGCAGCCACAAGAAAATACAAAGCCAGAGTCCCCAACCCTCAAGAGTTCATTCTAGACTAATCGTAAATACATGGCTTTATGTTTTCAGATTATGCTTAATGGAGCCACTCCGAACCATTTTCTTCTGGGTGGCACACCTCTGCGTAACGAAATTTTCCAGACTTCATATGGGCAAGGTAGCTAGGCAGAGAGAATGACCTAAAACTAAAATTGTTTCAGAGAGAAGTAGGAATTGTACTAATTAATGCTGGAGCAAGACAAAGATAGACTTCGAAGGGGCAGATGGCTACAGCTTAGTGTCTAACATTATGGAATTGATCTCGGTAGGGCACCTAGCATTGCTTCTACTACTCCCATGCCTCTAACTGTCCCATAAGCAGGTGCTGTTAGTGGCAAAGGCAAAATGCAGGAGTGCAGCCCACCATGGCTATAAGAAGTACTCAAAATCCATATCTTCCTGCTTTGGGATAGCTGAATCTCAATAGACAACAATTATTTTTGTAACACACTTAAATAATGTAAGAGAAAAAATAGTAAAGAAGAAATGTTTAGAGAAAATGGAATGACAAATGAGCAAATATAGGAAAAGAAGTCAGGGAAAAGAACATCACACTATAAACTCATCAATGCTTTATACCAGCACCTTGCACAAAGTTTAACTTTGTAAATTGTCTTAAATATTAAATACCTAACTTTATATAAAAAGGCAACACCAATATCATCTCTTCTCAGCGCCTCCAAACAAAATTATGTACTTTGTTTTTTCTAATTAAATTTTTTTTTTTTGAGACAGAGTCTCACTCTTGTCACCCAGGCTGGAGTGCAATGGCACAATCTCGGCTCACTACAACCTCCACCTCCAGGGTTCAAGCGATTCTCCCGCCTCAGCCTCTCAAGTAGCTGGGATTACAGGTGCCCACCACCATGCCCAGCTACTTTTTGTATTTTTTTTTAATAGGGATGAGGTTTCACCATGTTGGCCAGGCTGGTCTCAAACTCCTGACCTCAGGTGATCCACCCACCTCAGCCGCCCGAAGTGCTGAGATGACAGGCATAAGCCACTGTGCCTGGCCAGAATTATGTACTTTCAATTGTTTATCCTCCACTAGAGATGCTTCTCTGTGAATTAGTTACACATCTTTATGAGTAACTACCTTTATCACCTACCTTTATGATCAGGTTGTTGATCTGAGAGATGGGACTATGGAACAGAGGAAAATTAACAGGTGCCCATTAGGCCTCAAGCCACAGTTGAGTTTTCAGTGGGATTGTACTCTCAGCTAATGAGATGGAAATGAAAGCTGAGTGCTTACTGACAAGAACTGACTTCATACCTAAGTGGGCACACAAAAACCCCAGAGGTGTAAGAGTAAATTCTGGGCTTCTAATCTGCCAATCAAAACTTCACAAAGGGTTGTGATTGTTAATTGTAAAATAAACCTATCTGCCCATGGGGACTCTTGGGAAACAGCGTTACTGACTATATAACACATGTAAATACTCTGTTTATATACTTTAATTGTCTAGCCCTCTGTAAAATGAAACAATTTAGTTTAGGGACACTTGAGCTCAGTATCTAAAGACTAGGACAAGCCCACATTCCTTCTCCTTGGAAGAGAGATCTTCTTTTTCAACAGCTAAAATGCAGCCATTTGCTAAAAATGACTCAGCACTCAGAAAGCTCAGGAGAACAAATCTCAGAGAAAGGGGCTGTCCCTGCCAGACACCCCATTTCTCCCACCCAAGATTTCTATGCCATGTATCACCCATACAGCCAGAAAGCTAGAAGTATATTTATTTTATAAGTGACAAAGCAAGGAAACAATGCTGAGAGGTCCAGAATTGAACAATAATCACCATAGATATGTTTCTTTGGGGAGAATTCTTCTATGTAAGAGCCTTAAAATTACCTCTCAAATTTACTTTTTGAAACCATGGTGTTGAAAGGGACTGCTTGAGAATCTGGAACCCGGTGTTTGGTGAGGTTATCTTGGCCCATACTTCCTCTGCATAGCAAACAGTGACTCTTTGGAATAAGGGGCAAACTTGGGACTCAGGGCCAGAGTTATATTCACAGACTGGCTGCCACTTCCACACCACTGGAATATGATGACAATTGACCCTAGTTATGGGTCTAGCAGCAGTAACGGGTGTTTCAGGTAGGCTCCGAGGAGAGTGAGCATCCTCTTGTTTGTGAAGTATTTGCTCCAGGAGAGGCAATTACAGGGTTTTTGAGGGGAGAAAAAAATTCTGCAGATACACAAGAGCAAGATACTCCCACTGGCAAGGGAGACTCAGAGCAACTCAGGGGTTCAAGATTCTCACTCTCACTTGAGACCAACCATATGTGCCCATTTCAAGTTTTGGGGTCTCCTTCCCAATCAATGACCTAACTTTCACATGAGAAACTTGGCATTAATTTCCCAAGAAAATTACTGATGTTGTAGTTCTGCAACCTGTAAAATTAAATTTTGTGTTTAATTTTTAACAATACCAACCCTGTGGCTACAAGACATAAAAGATCCTGTTAGGGCTGCCATGGAAGTCCTCTAGTTCTCAGACCGAGAACTAAACCAAGAGCTTAAGGACCTGAGCTTTTCATCTTCTGTCTGTAAGCACTCCACTACACTCAGAAATATCCATCCTATGCTACAGTCCTTGCAGTGATCACTACTGCCGTTAAGAGTCCAGTGTCCGGTCAAGAGACAGAAACCACACAGTAATTCAAATAAAGAAAGTATAATCATGAAGAACTGTTAACTTGGTAAAAAGGTGGTTAACCACTAAAAAGGATAAAAGAGAATTGTATGGTGTAATAGAGGTGGCAACCTCAGACTACAGCTATCACTCTTAAGATGAAAGGAAAGGTAAACAAGGAGGAAACTTAGAAAGAGAGAAAGGACTCCAGCAGACTAACATTTGGGCCTCTAAGGAGATGGTTCAGCTGGTGCAGAAACATGTCACCCACTGCTGGGGTGAAGAAGAAACCTCCGGGGGACATTCACTTGCTGGAACCACAGGAACAATTCACCACCACAAGGAATACTGCCGGGGCCAGGTATGTGCTGACCCATTCACTGTCATGTGGAGAAGGCAAAAATAACAGGAGAAGATAAATCTCTTTTTCCTTCTCCAACTTTGAGAATCCCTTCAGCACTCCCTTAGCCCCTAATTGGCTGAACCTAATATAAAGCCAGATATCTGAGAAAAAAATGTAGTTTGCAGTGTACATCTCCAGTATCGTGAAGTAGGACAAAGAAAGGTAGTTTGGAACTAAGAGGAAATAAATTAATAATAAGCATACTTGAATATAGAGGCTAGGAGTAAAGATGGGGAAAGGCGAACAGTTACAATATATGCTTTGGAGATAGAATCGCTTGGACTTAGTGTTAAGGCTCCTGTGGGAGGGGAGTAAAAGGAGGAATCAGGATGATCCTTCTAAAGAGAAAGGGAAAATAGTATATTCATTTGTGGATGGAATGAGTTTGTTGTGGTTAGAAAGAAAGAGAATTAAGAATTAAATTTTGAATATATATCAAATGTCTGTGACATATTCAGATCAAGGTGTCAAATTGGCAGATAGATGGCTATACAAATGTTGAGCTTGTCTGAAGATAAAAATTAGCATCAACAGCATATATATGTTATTTAAGGGCGCTGGACTAGATATCATCTCCAGAGAAACTACAGATAGAGAAAAGAGCCAGAGAACTTCCTGAGACACACCAACATTCAGAAGTAAGAGAAGAGGTGAAACAGAGAGAGTAGCCAGTGAGAGGCAAACAAACAAACAAAAAAAAAAAATAGGAGAGTTTGGTGTAACGGAAGCAGAGAAAGAAGTGTTTCCAAAAAAGTAATCAACTCTGTCAAATGCATTGAAATTGAAGAAAAGCTTCCATTGGATTTTCTTTTTTTTTTTTTTTTCCCAGTCAGGTTCTCACTCCGTTGCCCAGGCTGGAGTGCAGTGATGTGATCTCAGCTCACTGCAGCCTCAACCTCCCAGGCTCAAGTAATCCTCCCACCTCAGCCTCCCCAGTAGCTGTGTCTACAGGTGCACACCACCACGCCTGGCTAATTTTTTGTATTTTTTTTTTTTTGTAGAGATGGGATTTTGCCATGCTGCCCAGGTGCTGGTCCCAAACTCCTGGGCTGAAGTGATCCACCTACCTTGGCCTCCCAAAGTGTTGGCATTACAGGCATGAGCCACCACACCCAGCCTGGATTTAACAAGATGTATTTCAATGTATGAAGGAAGAGAAAGAAAGAAACATGAACAGAGAAATAAGTGGTAGGAGAAGGAAACGTTGGGTCAAACTAGAAGTTTTAAACCTGAAAAAATATGAAAACTAAGTTGTCTAATATAACAGCCACTAGCCACAGGTGGCTGCTGAGGACTTGAAATGTGGCCAGTATACCATATGTAGAAAGCTGAAACTGGATCCCTTCCTTACACCTTATACAAAAATTAACTCAAGATGGATTAAAGACTTAAATGTAAGACCTAACACCATAAAAATCCTAGAAGAAAACCTAGGCAATACCATTCAGGACATGGGCATGGACAAAGACTTCATGACTAAAATACCAAAAGCAATGGCAACAAAAGCCAAAATGGACAAATGGGATCTAATTAAACTAAACAGCTTCTCCATAGCAAAAGAAACTATCATCAGAGTGAACAGGCAATCTACAGAATGGGAGAAAATTTTTGCAATCTACCCATCTGACAAAGGGCTAATATCCAGAATCTACAATAAACTTAAACAAATTTACAAGAAAAAAACAACCCCATCAAAAAGTGGGCAAAGGATATGAACAGACACTTCTCAAAAGAAGACGTTTATGCAGCCAACAGACAGATGAAAAAATGCTCATCATCACTGGTCATCAGAGAAATGCAAATCAAAACCACAATGAGATACCATCTCATGCCAGTTAGAATGGCGATCATTAAAAAGTCAGGAAACAACAGATGCTGGAGAGGATGTGGAGAAATAGGAATGCTTTTACACTGTTGGTGGGAGTGTAAATTAGTTCAACCATTGTGGAAGACAGTGTGGTGATTCCTCAAGGATCTAGAACTAGAAATACCATTTGACCCAGCAATCCCATTACTGGACATATACCCAAAGGATTATAAATCATTCTACGATAAAGACACATGCACATGTATGTTTATTGTGGCACTATTCACAATAGCAAAGACTTGGAACCAACCCAAATGCCCATCAATGATAGACTGGATTAAGAAAATGTGGCACATATACACCAAGGAATATTATGGAGCCAAAAAAAAAAAAAGGATGAGTTAATGTTTCTTTGCAGGGACATGGATGAAGCTGGAAACCATCACTCTAAGCAAACTATCACGAGGACAGAAAACCAAACACTGCATGTTCTTACTCATAAGTGGGAGTTGAACAATGAGAACACATGGACACAGGGCAGGGAACATCACACACCTGGGCCTGCCGGGGGGTGGGGGGCTGGTGGAGGGATAGCATTAGGAAAAATACCTAATGTAAATGACGAGTTGATGGGTGCAGCAAACTAACACGGCACATGTATACCTATGTAACAAACCTGCACGTTGTGCACATGTACCCTAGAACTTAAAGTATAATAATAAAAAATATGTATATATAAAAGAAATGTGGCTAGCATAAATTTAGATATGCTATAAGTATAAATTACACACCACATTTCGAAGACTCAGTATGAGAAAATATATACAATATCTCATCAATAATTTTTACATCAATTATAGGGTGAAATAATATTTCACATACATTGGGTTAAATGAAATATATGACAATTAAATTTACTTTTTTTTCTTTTTACTTTTTTAATATGGCTACCATAAAATCTTAAATTACATATGTGGCTCACATCATATTTATACTGGAGAGAGTTGTACTAGAGCATGTTTGTATGCTAATATAATGATCTAGTAGAGAATCAGGAATTGATGATGTAGAAAGAGAAAGAGTAGGGAAAAGAGAAAAGACCTTTAGAGCTTAAGCAGATAAGGGGTGATGGACATCATACATAGATCAACAAACAAGTAGAGAAAGGCATGTACATAGATAATATTTGTTGTATCCTTTATACAGAAAGAACTCACTCTTTTTAAACAGCCATGAAGCAGTAATAAACATTTATCAAGGACTAAGTCACAAATAAAATCTCAAATATCTAAAGGTACAGATCACATGGTAATCAAACAAGAAATCAGTATGAAAAAGACAGCAAACTCAATCTAATTACATGGACATTATAAAACAGTTTTCTAAACAACTCTTGGATTAAAGTGGAAATCAGTACTAGAACACAGACTGTTTGAAATTACCAATGAAACAACACTCCATTTCAAAGCTTATGGGATACAACCAAAGTCTTAACTCAAAGGAAAATTCAGAGCTTTCAGTGATCTTCTTAATATATACGGAAGATTGAAAGTAAATGATCTAAGCACCCAGTTCAAGAAAGTTTAAAAAAATTAAAAAAAAAAAAATAAGCCAACAGAGAATAGGAGAAACTAATAAAAATAAAATTCAAAATTAATGAACTAGAAAGCATGGCAAAACAAAATTGCATAGACCTGGTAAATAAAGCAATTGTTTTATTTTGTTTTTGTTTTTAGAATACAACATACAAACCATTAATAAGTGTGAACAAGAAAAAAAGAGAAAGAAAATGCAAATATCTACAACAAGGAAAGAAAAATAATTCAGCATTAAGAGATTTTTAAAATTCTAAAATTCCAAATACCCACCAGTAAATTAGAAAATCTACATGAAATAGACAAATTTTTAGCAAAATGCAGATTACTAATATTAGCTCATGAAGAGAGGAAATTATCCCAATAATCAAAGAAAAACTTGAAAATGCAGCAAAAGCTCTAACTTCAAAAAAAGCACCAGTTCCAGTTTGTTTTATCAGTAAGTTCTAATACATCATAAAGAACAGATAATTCCTGGATTATTTAAACATTCGGCCAGTACAAACTATGAAAAACTTCCCAATACACTTCACTGACAAATTTAATTCTGATACTAAAGTATACTAAATACTAAACAATAGTAAAAATAAAATACATATTGGGTTATTCTTAAAATCCAAAGTCAAATATTAGCAAGTCTAATTAAGAATGCTTTTGACAGCAAGTAACAGAAACCCTGACTCCAATTATCTTTAAAAATGAGGGTATTTCTGAACTCAACAGAAATCTAGAAGTAGGATAAGTTTTAGGATGGGTTGTGGTTTAATTACGTTATTAAGAACCCAGGGGAGGGGGGCCAAGTTGGCCAATTAGAAGCAGCAGCTGTCTGTGGCACTCAGGGAGAGGAAGAAAGGAGCAAGTGAATATAGCACCTTCAACTGAAATATCCAGGCACTCACACTGGGACTGATCACAGAAACAACTCGACCCATGGAGAAGAGAGAAAAGCAAGGTGGGGCAATAGCCCACCTGGGAGCAACATGAAGCCAAGAGAACTCCCACCCCCAGCCAAGGGAAGCAGTGAGTGAGTGTGCAACCCCAGGAAACCACGCTTCTCCCACGGATCTTTGCAACCCACAGATCAGGAGATCAGTGCACCCACACCACCTTGTGCACCCACATCACCAGGGTCTTGGGTCCCACACACAGAGGTGTGTTGAGTCTCAGCAGAGCAGCTGCTCAGGCATGCATAGAGATCCAGGAACTTTACATATTCCGGCCCCAGGATCCCCAACAGAGGTGTCTGTAACTCAGGCAAGGTGGGAGGTCTGTACATACCCCTAGGAAGGGGGCTGAATCCAGGGAGCCAAGCAGCATCAATCTGTGGGTCCCACTTCCACAACACCTCACAAAATAAGACCTACTGGCTTGGAATATAGCCTACCTGTGATGGGACAGAGTCCCCAGTGGGAGGGGTGGGCTGCCATCTCTACTGTTTGGTTGACTCAGCCATTTCAGTCTATGGGCTTCGGAGAATCCATATGGTTCAAACAAGGAAGGGTCTTCCCAGAACACTACAGCGGCATTGCCTGAACGTGGCCAGGTTGCTTCTTTAAGTGGGGCCCCAATCCATTCCTCTTCACTGGGAGGGACCTCCCAACCGGGGCCTCCAGCCATCTCTGCCTGTATTCCACAAACGGATCCTGATCTCTTTCTGGAATAGCATGCCCGAGGGGAGGCGAGGAGGGAAGGAGGAGGGGAGGGGAGGAGGGGAGGAAAGGAGGGCCACCAAGCTGGCTGTTTGAATGACTCAGCCATTCCAACCAGTGGGCTTTAGAGAGTCCAAGCCAACAAGGGCAGAAGCAGTTTCCCAGCACAACAAGGCTGTTCTATTGAGGCATGGCCAGATGGCTTCTTTAAGTGGGACCCTGATCCACTTTTCCTTGACGGGTAGATCATGCCAGCTGGGGTATCCAGCCACCCCCGCCCATGTTCTGTGGCCAACAGACTTCTAATTTTTCCCTGGGACAGAGTGCCCAGAGGGGAAGGCGGGCCACCAACTTGGCTGTTGGGCACCTCAGCCAGTTCAGCCTGTGGGCCTCGGAGAGCCCAAACCAACAAGGGGCTGATGGGATCCCCAACACAGCACAACTGCTCTATCAAAAACAGCCCAACTGCTTCTTTAAGTGGATCCCTGATCCCGTTCCTCCTGACTAGGTGAGATGTCCCAACTGGGGTCTCCAGCCACCCCCTACATACTGTGTGCTCATGCTGGCAACAGGACAGTACCGCCCTGGGATGGAGCTTCCAGGGGAAGGGGCAGGCTGCCATCTTTGCTGTTTCATAGCATTCACTGCTGATACCTCCAAGTACAGGAAAAACTGAGGCAACCAGGGTGTAGAGTGGACCCCCAGCTAACTGCAGCATCTGTAAGGAAGAGTAAACAGACTGCTAAAAGAAAAAGATGAAAAAACAAAACAATCCATGAAAGCGCCATCCAAAGGTCAGCAACCTCAAAGATCGAAGATAGATAAGCCCACAAAAATGAGAAAGAATCAACGCAAAAATCTTGAAAATTCAAAAACCCAGAGAGCCCCTTTTCCTCCAAATGATCACAACACCTCTCCAGCAAGGGCTCAGAACTAGGCTGAGCCCAAGATGACAGAAGTAAGCTTCAGAATGTGGACAAAAGCCAATTTTGCTGAGCTAAAGGTGTATGTCCTAACCAAAGGCAAAGAAGCTAAGAATCATGATAAAACAATGCAGGAGCTGACAGCCAAAACAGCCAGTATAGAAAGGACCATAACCGACCTCACAGAGCTGAAAAACATACTACAAGTACTCGCAATGTAATCCCAAGTATTAATAGCAGAATAGACCAAGCAGAGCAAAGAATCCCAGAGCTTGCAGACTATCTCTCTGAAATAGGACAGGTAGACAGGAATAGAGAAAAAAGAATGAAAATGAATGAATAAAACCTCTGAGAAATATGGGTTTATGTAAAAGGACCAAACCTACAACTGATTGGGGTACCTGAAAGAGACAGGAAGAATAGAACCAAGTTGGAAAACATACTTCAGGATATCATCCAGGAGAATGACCCCAACCTAGCAAGATAGGCCAACATTCAAATTCAGGAACAAGAGAACCCCAGTAAGATAACTATTCAAGAAAATCATCCCTAAGATATGTATCAGCAGATTCTCCAAAGTCAAAATGAAAGAAAAAATGTTGGCTGGGCACAGTGGCTCATGCCTGTAATCCCAGCACTTTGGGAGGCCAAGGTGGGTGGATTACTTGAGGTCAGGAGTTCAAGACCAGCCTGGCCAACGTGGTGAAACCCTGTCTCTACTAAAAATACAAAAATTAGCCAGGTGTGGTGGCACATACCTTTAGTCCCAGCTACTCAGGCTACTCAAGAGGCTGAGGCAGGAGATTTGCTTGAACCCAGGAGACAGAGGTTGCATTGAGCTGAGATCGTGCCACTGCACTCCAGCCTGGGTGACACAGTGAAACTCCATCTGAAAAAAAAAAGAAAAAAGAAAAAAATGTTAAGGACAGCCAGAAAGAAAGACCAGGTCACCTACAAAGGGAAGGCCATCGGACAAGCATTGGGCCTCTGAGTGGAAACCCTACAAGCCAGAAAAGATTGGGGGCCAGTATTCAATATTCCTAAAGAAAAGAATTTCCAACCCAGAATTTCATATGCAAACTAAGTTTCATAAGCAAAGGAGAAATAAGATCCTTTTCAGACAAACAAATGCTGAGGAAATTCATCACTACCAGACCTGCCTTACAAGAGCTCCTGAAGGAAGCACTAAATATAGAAAGGAAAAACCATTACCACTACAAAAACACACTGACATACCAATGATACAATGAAGTATCCACATAAACCTGCAAAATAACCAGCCAGCATCATGATGACAGGATCAAATCCACACATAAAAATGCTAATCTTAAATGAAAATGTGCTAAATGCCTCCCAAAAAAAGATACAGAATAACAAGCTAGATAAAGAGCCAAGACCCATTAGTATGCTATCTTCAAGAGACGCATCTCACGTGCAAAGACACACATAGGCTCAAAATAAAGGGATAGAGGAAAATTTACCAAGCAAATGGAAAACAGAAAAAAACAGGTGCAATCCTAGTTTATAACAAAACAGACTTTAAATCAACAAAAATCAAAAAAGATAAAGAAGGCCACTACATAACAGTAAAGGGTTCATTTCAACAAGAAGAGCTAACTAACCTAAGTATATATACACCCAATACAGGAGCACCCAGAAAAAGAAAGTACTTAGAGACCTTCAAAGAGACTTAGACTCACACACAATAATGGTGGGAGACTTTATCACCCCACTGACAATATTAGGCAGATCATTGAGACAGAAAATTATCAAAGACATTCAAGACCTCAACTCAGCTCTGGATCAAGTGGGCCTGATAGCTATATACAGAACTCTCCACTCCAAAACAACAGAATATACATTCTTCTCATCGCCACAGCACTTACTCTAAAATTGATCACATAATTGGAAGTAAAACACTCCTTGGCAAATGCAAAAGAACTGAAAACATACCAAAGAGTCTCTCAGACCAAGGTGTAATCAAATTAGAACACAAGATTAAGAAATTCACTCAAAACCATATAACTACATGGAAAATGAACAATCTGCTCCCGAATGACTTTTGGTTAAATAATGAAATTAAGGCAGAAATCAAGAAGTTCTTTGAAACCAATGAGAACAAAACTACAATGTCCAGAATCTCCAGAATGCAGCTAAAGCACTGTTAAGAGGGAAATTTATAGCACTAAATGTCCACATCAAAAAGCTAAAAAGATCTCAAGTTAACAACCTAACATCACAACTAAACAAACTAGAGAAAAAAGAGCAAACCAACCCAAAGTTAGCAGGAGACAAAAAATAACCAAAATCAGAGTAGAACTGAAGAAGACAGAGACATGAAAAACCCTTCAAAGAATCAATGAATCCAGGAGCTGGTTTTTTGAAAAAAATTAATAAAATAGATAGACTGCTAGCTAGACTAATAAAGAATAAAAGAGAAAAGATTCAAATAAACACAATCAGAAGTGATAAGGGTGATATCACCACTGACCCCACAGAAATACAAACAACTATCAGAGAATACTACAAACACCACTATGTACATAAACTAGAAAAATCTAGAAGAAAAGGATAAATTCCTGGACACATACACCCTCCCAACACTGAACCAGGAAGAAACTGAATCCCTGAATAGACAATAATGAGTTTGGAAATTGAAGCAGTAATAAATAGCCTACCAACTGTTGGGAAAAAGCTGAGTGTTGGGAAGAAAGCTGAGGCAGGGCTCGCATGTCTGCCACAATGTCCTCTGGAATGTGTCTAGACTTGCTGGCTCCTTGCTTCTAGCCCTCCTAGGCTCCTAGTTCGATTGTATCTTCATTATCTCAAGTAGCAGAACATGTTCCTTATAAATGCCAAACCATCACAGCTGTAGATCATGCACCTGCTCTTCTGACCTCCACATTCTCACCACCTGTTTCTCTGTTGGATTACCAATAAATAGCATGGGCTCCCAGAGCTCAGAGCCTTCACAGCCTCCATACACTAACAATGGCCTCCTGGTTCCACCTTTCTCCCTCAAACTGTCTTTTTCTCAATCCTTTGACTCTGCTGGACTTTGTCACCCCCATGACCTGGTGTTGGGTCTGATCACCCCAACACCAACAAAAAAAAAAAGCCCAGGACCAGACAGATTCACAGGTGAGTTCTACCAGAGGTACAAAGAACAGCTAATACCACTCCTACTGAAACAATTTAATATTCAAAAAGATCGAAAAGGAGGGACTCCTCCTAACTCATTGTATGAGGCCAGCATCATCCTGATATCAAAACCTGGCAGAGATACAACAAAAAAGAGAAATTTCAGGCCAATATCTTTGATGAACATCAGTGCAAAAATCCTCAACAAAATACAGGCAAACTGATTCCAGCAGCACATCAAAAAGTTTATCCACCATGATCAAGTTGGCTTCATCTTTGGGATGCAAGGCTGTTCAACATACAAAAATCAATAAATGTTAAGTTATCACATAAACAGAACTAAAGACAAAAATCACATGATTATCTCAATAGATACAGAAAAAGTCTTTGATAAAATTCAACATCCCTCATGTTAAAAACTCTCAATAAACTAAGTATTGAAGGAACATGTCTCCAAATAATAAGAGCCATCTATGACAAATGCACAGCCAATATCATACTGAATGGGCAAAAACTGGAAGCATTCTCTTTGAAAAGTGGCACAAAACAAGGCTGCCCTCTCTCACCACTCCCAGTCAACACTGGAAGTTGTGGCCAAGGCAATCTGGCAAGAGAAAGAAATAAAGCATATTCAAATAGGAAGAGAGGAAGTCAAACTATCTTTATTTGCAGGTGACATGATCCTATATCTAGAAAACCCCAATGTCTCAGTCCAAAAGCTTCTTAAGCTGATAAGCAACTTCAGCAGTCTCAAGATACAAAATCTATGTGCAAAAATCACTAGCATTCCTATACACCAACAACAGGCAAGCTGACAGCCAAATCCCATTCACAATTGCCACAAAAAGAATAAAATACCTAGGAACAAAGCTAACCAGGGAAGTGAAGGACCTCTTCAAGAACTACAAACCACCACTCAAAGAAATCAGAGAAGACACAAAAGAACAGAAAAACATTCCATGCTCATAGATAGGAAGAATCAATATCGTGAAAATGGCCATACTGACCAAAGTAATTTATAGATTCAATGCTATTTCTGTTAAACTACCATTGAGATTCTTCACAGAATTAGAAAAAAACTATTTTAAAATTCATATGGAACCCCAAAAGAGCATGAATAGACAAGGCAATTGTAAGCAACAAAAACAAAGCTGGAGGCATTATGCTCCCAAACTTCAAACTATACTACAGGACTACAGTAACCAAAACAGCATGGTACTGGTACAAGAACAGAAACATAGACCAATGGGACAGAATACAGAATCCAGATATAAGTCTGCACACCTACAACCATCTGATCTTTGACAAACCTGATGAAAGCAAGCAATGGGAAAAGGATTCCCTATTTAATAAATGGTGCTGGAGAACTGGCTAGCCATATGCAGAAAATTGAAACTGGACCCCTTCCTTATACCATATACAAAAATTAACTCAAGATAGATTAAAGACTTACATGTAAAACCCAAAACTATAAACACTTCAGAAGAAAACCTAGGAAATATCATTGAGGACACAGGCATGGGCAAAGATTTCATGACAAAGACGCCAAAAGCCAAAATTGACAAATGGGATCTAATTAAACTAAAGAGCTTCTGCACAGCAAAAGAAACTATCATTGGAGTGAACAGACAACCTACAGAATGGGAGAAAATTTTTGCAATCTATCATCTGACAAAGGTCTAATATCCAGCATCTATATGGAATTTAAACAAATTTACAAGAAAAAAACAAACAACCCCATTAAAAAGTGGGCAAAAGACAAAACAGACACTTCTCAAAAGATGACATAGATGTGGACAACAAACATGAGAAAAAGCTCAACATCAGTGTTCATTACAGAAATGCAAATCAATACAACAATGAAATACCATCTAACACCAGTCAGATGGCTATTATTAAAAAGTCAAAAACAACAGATGGCTGGGGAAGTTGTGATGAAAAAGGAACACTTTTACACTGTTGGCGGGAAAGTAAGTTAGTTCAACCACCATGGAAGACAGTGTGGCAATTCTTCAAAGACCTAGAGGCAGAAATACCATTCAACCCAGCAATCCCATTACTGGGTATATACCCAAAGGAATAAAAATCATTCTATTATAAAGATACATGCATGCATATATTCATTGCAGCACTATTCACAACAGCAAAGGCCTGGAACCAACCTAAATGCCCATCAATGATAGACTGGACAAAGAAAATGTGGTATATATACACCATGGAATACTATATAGCCATAAAAAGGAATGAGATCTTGTCCTTTTTAGGGACATGGATGGAGCTGGGGGCCATTATTCTTAGCAAACTAATGCAGAAACAGAAAACCAAATACCACATGTTTTTACTTACATGTGGGAGCTGAATGATGAGAACATATGGACACGTTGTGGGAAGCAATACACACTGGGGCCTGTCAGAGGACAGGGCATGGGAAGAGGGAGAGCATCAGGAAGAATAGCTAATGAATGATGGGCTTCATACCTGGGTGATGGGATGATCTGTGCAGTAAACCAACATGGCACACATTTACCTATGTAACAAACATGCACATGCTGCACATGTACCCCTGAACTTAAAATGAAAGTTGGAAATTAAAAAAAGAATCCATCCTTTCCATCTTCCTGGTCTGTCATTCTTTGTGTTATTTCATTCCTGGTTAGGTAGCAACATGATTGCAATATTTCCAAGCATCCAGACATGATTTCCAGAAAAAGATGAAACACTAACTCTTTTAGATTTCTACTCAGGAGCCAAAGACACTTTTCGCAGAAGTTCACCTAGCAAGCGTCATTGCTTACTAGCAAGAGTTGGATTACATGCTCATAACTGAACCAACCCTAATCACCAGAATGGAGTTGTTTTAGACCAGCTCATCAGCATCTCCTGGAGGACTTGTTAAAATATACATTGCTGGACCTCATCCCCAGGGTTTCTGACTCAGTAGGTCTGGTATGGGTCTTGATACTCTGCATTTCTAATAAATTCCCCAGTTACATTAATACTGATTATCTTGGACCAGTCAGGACTATCTCTAGAGCTGGAAATGAGGTCGACTTCCCCAAGACAGCTAGCTACACCGAGAATGGATACCTGAACACAGCAGTGACTCTATTAGAAAATAAGGAAGTATAAATGGATGTGCAGCAGCCTCCATGCTAATCTAAGAATCTATTAATAAAACCGTATTACCAAATAGGATTTAGCCTAAGAATACAAGGTGATTGAACATTTAGAAATGTATTCATGTATTACACTAATAGATTAAGGAGAAAAGCTTCATGCTTTGTGTTACTAAAGGCCAAAAGACATTTGATAAAATTAAAAATCCATTCCTGACTTGAACTCAGTTTCTTCAGCTTTAAAATGGTGGTAGGGGGGTTGGAGATAGGGTTTGTATTATATGACCTCAAAGTTCCCTTCCACTGTAAAGATTTATGACTCTAACACTCTGCAGTGACCACTGGATAAGTTCTCCATAAAGAACATTTTGATGAGCCAAAATGTAAAAACTATATTATTTTTATCACTAAGTAATGCCCAACTGATCTTCTCAAACACTCAATATTCTTTTCTCCCTCCCTGAACCTGGGTGTGGCTCACACACGAGTGAAGAAAGGGTGAGGCCGAGACTCTGTGAAATGGAAAGGGTGTATGTTGAGCACATTATCTGGTAAATTTTTTTAAATTAAAGTATAGTGGTCTATTTTTAGGCTACATCAAAATGACTCCCAGTCAAAACTTCAGGGATCCTTTATAGTCTGATGGCTACTTACTAAAAGGCAAATATCCTGAGGGAAGGATCTTCAGGAAAAGCACTAACATGCACTGAGAGATCACCAGTGTATTAGTCCGTTCTCACGCTACTAATAAAAACATACCTGAGACTGGGTAATTTATAAAGGAAAGAAGTTAATTACTAACAGTTCAGCATGGCTAAGGAGACCTCAGGAAACGTACAATCATGGCAAAAGGAGAGGCAAACACATCCTTCCTCACATGGCAGCAGCAAGGAGAACTGCAGAGCAAAGTGGGAGAAAAGCCTCTTATAAAACCATCAGATTTTGTGAGAACTCACTGTCACAAGAACACCATGAGAGTCCCTCCCACAACATGTGGGGATTATGGGAACTACAATTGAAGATGAGATTTGGGTGGGGACACAGTCAACCATATCAACCAGATACCAGGCTAGTCAAATGTACCACTTGCTGCAGGGATGTCAACTATCTCAATGAGTGAATATGTAAAGAATTTTGTAGAGTAGAGAATCTCAAAGATGTCTACCATCTCTGGGTGGGCTATCTACTCAATCACAGCCAGAGGCTATGGGCTATCAATCGTTCAATGAACCTCTACACCCAGGATGCATCTAAACAAAGGTTTTATAAAGAAAGCCTGATCTCAACAATGTTTTTCATGTAAGAAGAACCTTCCTGGTAATTATAGTGATTTTAACAATTTAGCAACATTGACTGAAACTTCCTGAAGTTTGTTTTGAAACACTGGAGTGAGCTTTTTGAACAATTCAGGAAAATAATAGTTCATATACAACTATTCTAATGTACACACAGTGGCAATTTCTTTTTCTTTTCTTTTCTTCTTGTTTTTTTAACCTTATTGAAGTACTGCAAAATACACAGAGAAAACAGCAATTATCTTAAATATACAGTTTGATTAATTTTTACAAACTAAACACATGTAATAGCCAGTATCCAGATCAATGGTCCTGTGCAATCACCAAGTAGCCAGCTTTCTTTATGAGGGAGTGTAGGCACACTTGTAGTCCTAGCTACACAGGAGTCTGAGGCAGAGGATACTTGAGCCCAGGAGTTGGAGGCTGCAGTGAGCCAAGTTAATGCCACTGCACTCCAGCATGGGTGAAGTGAGGTCCTGAATCAAATAATAACAATAATAATTTACTACTCCAAAATCCCTCTGAGAGTTATTTCTCATTGTAGCATTTTATTAGCTGTTGTCTTTCATTTTCACTCCTACATTTCCTACTTTGATTTCTCTCCAGATTGTAGAAGTCCTGTAGTAGATATAATAGGGAGTAGTAGATATAATGACAACATTAAACATGATTGATATGGTTTGACTGTGTCCCCACCCAAATCTCATCTTGAATTTAACTCCCACAAGTTCCACAGGTCACGGGAGGAGCCCAGTAAAAGGTGAATGAATCATGGGGGCAGGCCTTTCCTGCACTGTTCTCGTGACAGTGAATGAGTCTCACAAGACCTGATGGCTTTAAAAATGGGAGTTTCCCTGAACAAGCTTTCTTTTTGCCTGCCACCATCCACGTAAGATGTGACTTGCTCCTCCTTGCCTTCCACCATGATTGTGAGGCCTCCCCAGCCATGTGGAACTGTAAGTCCATTAAACATCTTTCCCATATAAATTACCCAGTATCAGGTATGTCTTTATCAGCAGTGTGAAAATGAACTAATACAGTAAACTGGCACCAGTAGAGTGGGGCACTGCTGAAGAGATACCCAAAAATGTGGAATCAACTTTGGAACTGACTAACAGGCAGAGGTTGGAACAGTTTGGAGGGCTCAGAAGAAGACGGGAAAATATGGGAAAGCTTGGAACTCCCTAGAGACTTGTTGAATGCCTTTGACCAAAATGCTGATCATGATATGGACAATGAAATCCAGGCTGAGGTGGTCTCAGATGGAGATGAGGAGCTTGTCGGGAATTAGAGAAATGGTGACTCCTGTTATGTTTTAGCCAAGAGGCTGGCAGCTTTTTGCCCCTGCCTAAGATATTTGTGGAACTTTGAACTTGACAGAGATGATTTAGGGTATCTGGCAGAAGAAATTTCTAAGCAGCAAAGCATTCAAGAGGTGACTTGGATGCTGTTAAAGGCATTCAGTTTCATAAGGGAAGCAGAGCATAACAGTTCAGAAAATTTGCAGCCTGACAATGTAATAAAAAAGAAAATCCCGTTTTCTTAGGAGAAATTCGATCTGGCTGCAGAAATGTGCATAAATAACAAGAAGCCAAATGTTAATACCCAAGACAATGGGGAAAATGTCTGCAGGGCATGTCAGAAGTCTTCACGGCAGCCCCTCCCATCACAGGCCTGGGGGCCTAGGAGGAAAAAACGGTTTCAGGGGCCAGGCCCAGGGTCCCCATGCTGTGTGCAGTCTGGGCACTTGATGCCCTGTGTTCCAGCTGCTTCTTTTAGCCATGACTAAAAGGGGCCAATATACAGCTTGGGCCATGGCTTCAGAGGGTGCAAGCCCCAAGCCTTGGCAGCTTCCACATGGTGTTGAGCCTGTAGGCACACAAAAGTCAAGAATTGAGGTTTGAGCACCTCTGCCTAGATTTCAGAGGATGTATGGAAATGCCTGGATATCCAGGCAGAAGTTTGCTGCAGGGCCAGGGCTGTCATGGAGAACCTCTGCTAGGGTAGTGCAGAAAGGAAATGTGGGGTCAGATCCCCCACATAGAGTCCCTACTGGGGCACTGCCTAGTGGAGCTGTGAGAAGAGGGCCACCATCCTCCAGACCCCAGAGTGGTAGATCCACCAACAGCTTGTACCGTGTGCCTGGAAAAGCCACAGACACTCAACACCAGCCTGTGAAAGGAGCCAAGTGGGAAGCTGTACCATGCAGAGCCACAAGGGTGGAGCTGCCCAAGACCATGGGAACCCACCTCTTGCATCAGCATGACCCAGATGCAAGACATGGAGTCAAAGGAGATAATTTTGGAGCTTTAAGTTTGACTGCCCTGCTGGATTTTGGACTTGCATGGGGCCTATAACCCCTTTGTTTTGGCCAATTTCTCCCATTTGGAATGGCGGTATTTACCCAATGCCTGTAACCCCATTGTATCTAGGAAGTAACTTGCTTTTGACTTTACAGGCTCATAGGCAGAAGGGACTTGCCTTGTTTTGGATGAGAATTTAAACTGGGGACTTCTGAGTTAATGCTGAAATTAGTTAAGACTTTGGGGAACTGTTAGGAAGGCATGATTGGTTTGAAATGTGAGGACATGAGATTTGGGAGGGGCCAGGGGCAGAATGATATGGGTTGGCTGTATCCCCACCCAAATCTCATCTTGAATTGTAACTCCCACAATTCCACACGTGATGGAAGGAACCCAATGGGAGGTGACTGAATCATGGAAGCAGGTCTTTCCTGCACTGTTCTCATGATACTGAATGAGTCTCACGAGATCTGATGGTTTTAAAAATGAGAGTTTCCTGCACAAGCTCTCTTTTTGCCTGCCACCATCAACATAAGATGTGACTTGCTCCTCCTTGCCTTCTGCCATGATTGTGAGGCCTCCCCAGCCATGTGGAACTATAAGTCCATTAAACCTCTTTCCTGTATAAATCACCCAGTTTCAGGTATATCTTTACCAGCATCATGAAAACGAACTATTACGATGATAAAGAAAAGCAGTGGAGAGATTATCAGCCCCACTCACTGAAGGTTGACAGGACTGCCTTAATGATATGTACAGGTTACTGTGCCCAAGCTTTCTTTATTTCTGAAAAGACAATCAAATCTAACAAGAAAGTTTATAGAGTTGAAAAAAAACACAATCTCACCATCCTAACATTAATTTTAGTTTTATATGTCTCCTCCCATTGGTACAGGGATTTTTACCTAGCTCTAATTACAGTCATGCATCACTTAACGATGGGGATATGTTCTGAGAAATGTGTCATTAGGCAATTTTGTCATTGTGTGAACATTATGGAGTGCACTTACACAAACCTAGATGGTATAGTCTACTACATACCTAGGCTACATGGTATAGCTTATTGCTCCTACGCCTCAAACCTGCACAGCACATTACTATACTGAATACTGTAGGCAATTATAACACCATGGTAAATATGGCTCAAGCCTGTAATCCCAGCCCTTTGGGAGGCTAAGGTGGGAGGACTACTTAAGCCCAGGAATTTCAGACCAGCCTGGGCAACACAGGTTAGGAAGACCCCGTCTCTACCAAAAATAAAACAATTGCCCAGGTATGGTGGCATGTGCCTGTAGTCCCAGCTACTCAGGAGGCTGAAGTGAGAGGACTGCTTGAGCCCAGGAGCTTGAGGCTGCAGTGAGCTATGATCACACCACTGCACTCCAGCCTGGGTGACAGAGCAAGGCCCTGTCTTAAAAAAAAAAAATGAAAAAAAAAAGGATAAAAAATGGTACACCTATATAGGGCATTTACCATGAATATAGCTTGCAGGACTGGAAGTTGCCATGGGTGAGACAGTGAGTGAGTGGTGAATGAATGTACTGTAGACTTTATAAACACTGTACACTTAGGCTACACTAAATTCATGTGTAAAAATTTCTTTCTTCAATAACAAATTAACCTTACCTTACTATAACTTTTTTACTTTATAAACTTTAAAATTGTTTTAATGTTTTGACTCTTCTGTAATAACACTTAGCTTAAAACACAAACACATTGTATAGCTATACAAAATACTGTATTTTCTTTTTTATATTCTTATTCTATAAGCTTTTTTATAATTCTAAAAGGTTATTGTCTTTTGAAACTTTTTAAACTTAAAAACAAAGACATAAATGCACACATTAGCCTAGGGCTTCACAGGGTCAGGATCCTCAAGACATCACTATGCGAAAGGAATTTTTCAGCTCCATTATCATCTTATGAGACCACCGTAGTATATGTGGTCCAATGTTGTATCACATGACTGTATAACTAGAGACATCTTGCTCTTTTACTCCCAGCTGTGGACAAACAAGAAACTTTGCTGTTGTGGCTGCAGGAAGGCGACCCAATGTTTCTCTAATACTTTGTACAACGTAGTCCTCATGCCCACTATGTGTAACAGGTCACAAATATTCATTAATAAAATATAGTCAAACCTTTAGGAGTTCACAATCTAGTGAGAGAGACAGGCATCATGGTGCACTGTTGTTTTTCCAAATGCCCATTGCTAATCTGTTCATTTTATTCTTCTGTCAAAGCAGTAAAGACAGAAGAGAAGATGTGAGTCATCCCAGAGTCACAGCCCTCTGGAAATGCCTGAAATCCATTCTTTCCTGTCCCTCAGATTACTGTAAGGACTTCAAGGTTCTCTCCGACCCTTATAGCTGTATGAAAACACTTTTTCTGATAGGAGAGCCTCCACCCTCTCTCTAAGGAAAGTAAATCCTTTCTTAGTCAAGCTCTCCCTTTTCCACACTCCGGTCTTTCCCTGGAATGTCTCCTCTGTCCTTCCTCCCCTCCTCCTTTCCCATTATACATCTCACTAACCCTCAGGAAAATAGCTTTAAAATTTTCCCTCTGGAATGGGGCCCAGTCCACAGAGCACCTACCTTTGGTATAAGTCAGATGTTAAACTCAATTACCTACGAAGGCCAGGCAGAACAGCGTTCTTCTGACTTTGTTTGCATATTAAGTTCATGGAACATTCTCTACTTTCACAAAGAAACATGATCATTTTTTTCTTGAAATATACAGCCCTTAGTTAAGCTTTCATTTGCACAGTTTTGACAGATAAGAATGCAAGAACTATTTCTTTTTCCTCCCAATTCTACTCTAATGTTAGTAACTGGCAGAGGACCTTCTGAGTAACAGAGAACATTGCCCTCTAAAAGGCTACTCAGCAGCCACTGTTTGCCAGATGGAACATGGGCCTGGTGTTGCTGTGTTGCTAGATCTTCTGACCTTTCAGGAGACAAAAATCCAGATATTTTTATGAAAAATCATGTTTTCAAAATGCTGATGTGGACGAAAGAAAGAGAGATCAGACTGTTACTGTTGTCTATGCAGAAAGAAGAAGACATAAGAAACTCCATTTTGTTCTGAACTAAGAAAAATTCTTCTGCCTTTAGATGATGTTAATCTGTAACCCTAGCCCCAACCCTGTGCTGGCAGAAACATGTGTTGTGTTGACTCAAGGTTTAATGGATTTAGGGCTACGCAGGGTGTGCTTTGTTAAAAATGTGTTTGCAGGCAGTATGCTTGGTAAAAGTCACCGCCATTTTCCAGTCTCAAGTACCCAGGGACACAATGCACTGCGGAAGGCCGCAGGGACCTCTGCCCAAGAAAGCCTGGGTATTGTCCAAGGTTTCTCCCCACTGAGACAGCCTGAGATATGGCCTCGTGGGAAGGTAAAGACCTGACCGTCTCCCAGCCTGACACCAGTAAAGGGTCTGTGCTGAGGAGGATTAGTGAAAGAGGAAGGCCTCTTTGCAGTTGAGATAAGAGGACGGCATCTGTCTCCTGCTCATCCCTGGGAATGGAATGTCTCGGTGTAAAACCCGACGTACATTCTATTTACTAAGATGGAAAAAACCGCCTTATGGCTGGAGGTGAGACATGCTGGAGGCAATACTGCTCTTTACTGCACTGAGATGTTTGTGTAAAGTCAAACATAAATCTGGCCTATGTGCACATCGAGGCATAGAACCTTTCCTTAAACTTATTTACGACACAGAGACCTTTGCTCACATGTTTTCCTGCTGACCCTCTCCCCACCATTATCCTATAGTCCTGCCACATCCCCCTCACCGAGATAGTAGAGATAGTGATCAGTAAATACTGAGGGAACTCAGAGACCAGTGCCGGGTCCTCCGTATGCTAAGCGCCGTCCCCCGGGCCCACTGTTCTTTCTCTATACTTCATCTCTGTGTCTTATTTCTTTCCTCAGTCTCTCATCCCACCTGACGAGAAACACCCACAGGCGTGGAGGGGCTGGCCCCCTTCAGTGGACAGCTAATTCAAGACAATTTAAAATGCTCCAAAGTCTAAAGCAAACAAGTTCACAGAGTGCAGAAGCATTGCCAGTGTACAGCTTCTGGCACTGTAAATTCTAATGAGTATTTTATTATATTTGCTTAATTTACAACAGACAATAATATAATTATGCCTTTGACAGACATCAATAATCTGTTTCTGTATTCATTCTCCATATTTATAGAGTATTGTGTTTTCTAGCTGATTTCCACAACATATTGTTAACAGTGCCTTAGGCCAAACTACTCTTCTTTCCCAACTATTCTCTTTCTTCCCTACAAAGGGAGTTAAAACAAGGAGCTGTTAAAACTTGGAGCCAAATTAGAGATTAAATTACATTAGCTTTAAACGGTTTTGTGAAGTGGCTAGAAATTTTTACCAGTAATCTTACTGCAAGTCCTGGGTCACTGAAGAACTCGGTAAATATGATTAGCATGCACGCACCAACACATCACTGTGATGAAAACGCAAATCACAGTATGTGAGTCACTACTCTCAACATTGCCATGCCCCTGCCTTAAACCTGCCAGCCCCATCCAGAGGATTTTTCTCATCTCTGAACTCCAATCATTTACACCTTCCCCCATCAGAATTTACCCTACATTTTATTATAATTGCATATAAATATGCCTTCCCTGTAACAGCAGGGACTGTGTTTCTCCACTGTATGGCCTGGCACAGTGTCCAGCACACAGCAGGCAAAGCAAGAGTTACTGCATGAGCCAGTGTCATCATCCAAACGATAGCTACCATTTCCAGAGCACCTACCGTGAGCTGACTAGTTTACCTACATTATCCTGGTGGCTTTCCCAGACCAGACCACCCAAACCAAAGCAGCCCCCCAGTCACCCTCTAGGCACATAACCCTATTTTAGTTCTCTGAATACGACTGATTGCTGTCTAACATATTTTGGTTTGTGTGCTTATTGTCTGTCACCGGTTTCCCTTCACAAGAAGGAAAGCTCCAAGAGGACAGGCATCTTATCTACCTTGTACTTGGCTCATAGCAAATAAATGAATCTAAGCCGCCCACCTCCCTGGGTGACAGAGTTGACCTGCACACAGTAGGTCTCAAAGAGTATGTTTTAAATTTTATATTTAGATTTCAAGATAATTGTGTTGAATATTTTATGGTTCATAACAAACAGAAAGGGGAGGGCAGAATAAAAATAAATAAAAGTTTAGTTACATTACCCTAGCACTGACATTGGTACGGGAATTTTTGCTGCAATAAGAAAGCCACTTCCTCTGACATAAGGTCACCCATACTTCTGGGTCTTGCCACATCCTCTTAGACAGTTCATCGTAGCTGGGCTGGCTGGGGCGGTCAGGACTCCAGACGCTCACACTAAAAGAGGGGTGGTAGTCGAGCAGTCACTCCACTCCTCTGTAGGGAGCTGGCCGCGAGTGGGTGCGCAGCAGGGTGCGCGCGGACCCGTGCAGCGCCCAGGGCGGCTGTGCGAAGCCGCCGCAGCCTGCGCGCCCAGGCGATTCTCCACCTTGGGGCTCGCCTTCCTGCCGCGTTCCTCTTCCTTCCATCCCTAAAGCGCGTACGCCCTGCAGAGTCAAACCTGGCGCATCCTCAAGCTTCCAGGGGGCAACGTGACCGAGCCCCGCATCACGTGTGCAGAGACGGCCTATAGTGTCTGAAGGATGCCACCTAGTCGCAGGCCCGGCGGCGCCACCAACAGCGACCGCGGTAGTCCAGCTCGCGCCGCGTCCCGGCCCCAGCCCGGCCCGGCCCAGCCCCGCCCCGCGCCCAGCCCCGCCCCGCCCCGCGCCCAGCCCAGCCCCCGCGGCCCGGCCCCCAGCGGCCGGCCTCCCGCGGCCCCGCCCCCGCCGCCCCAGTCCCCGCCCCTCGCGCCTTCGTTTATTCCTCCGCGCGCTGGGACAGGCTGCTTCTTCGCCAGAACCAACCGGTTGCTTGCTGTCCCAGCGGCGCCCCCTCATCACCGTCGCCATGCCCGGAGGTCTGCTTCTCGGGGACGTGGCTCCCAACTTTGAGGCCAATACCACCGTCGGCCGCATCCGTTTCCACGACTTTCTGGGAGACTCGTAAGTGGCCACCGCGTAGCCCTGTCCTGGCCTCGGTTGCGCCGGACTCGGAGGTGCCTTCCCTGTTTCTTCTCCCTGCCGTCCTCCCGGCCGCTCAGCCCCCTGCGCCGCCCTCGCCTTCCCCCGCACTGGTTCCGGCGCGCGCCAGGCCGTGTGGCCTCTGCTCAGCGTCGGCTGCGCTGCTGGGAGCTGGCACCCGTTCGGCCTGCCCTGCGCGGGCCACTCGATCCCTCCTGGCCTCCCCGCCTCCGGCGTGGCTGGGCAAGGCCACGCCAAGGTGGGGGGTGGGGAGGATAAAATTGTGTTCTGCGGGTTCTGGAAACTCACCGCCCGCGGGAGGGTTTGTTGTCCATTTAACTCGTCTTAGTAAACTGTGCAGGTAGCGTGGTCAGGCCGAGGGCGCAGGGGCGGGGCGGCATTGACGATCACTTCCCCGGACTAGTGCCCAGGGTCGCACCGCCCTCCCACCCTCCGTTCTGGAATTTGCTCCCTGGGGAGGATGGGTGTCTAAAGCCAAAGTCGGAGGACACAGCTGCTGGCTATAGGTTACAGGAAGGCCAACGTATCATCTGAGGGTGCAGTGGTATTTGCAGGCTTCTGGGCACAAAATGTGAAATTTAAAACCACTAGCTGCCAAGTAGGTGGCCGAAAGACTTTTTGTCCAGAGCCGCCTCCAATGGCCAAGATATGATTTGATAACAGCTTTAGGAAGAGCCAAGAACACTCTGCGTAGGTGTGCCTTCAGAGATTCCAGAACTTGCAACACTTGGAGGGAAGGACTTTCTGACGCTGTTCCGCTGGAGTGGCCTATTCTTGCTAGTGATGGCCGTTCCAGGCTCCAGGACACGTGTACTCCCCAACTTTGAGACTCTCTTGTTTTCCAGTGGCTTGCCCCTCACTGTCCCCTCCGCTTTCTACCTTGCTTCTAGCACATGAGCTTGCTGATGATAGCCAAATTGATGACCTGTGATCTGACTTGGCAGTTTTACCATTATGGATAGGAGTAGTAAATCGGTGTTGCCCTTTTTTTTTTTTAACAGCTCCTGAATCAGCAAACTGGAAGTTGCTTAGTTTTCATCAGAAGCATTCCAGGCATGTCTAGTTATATTATGGTTCTGGAGTACTAGTGGTCCCACTACACTGTGGGGCTCCAAGGCTTGACAACAGTTCTTCCCCAGATTATATCCTTTTTATATACAGTATCCAGGGAGACAGGCTTATGAAATTAATCAGTGATTGGACAGGGCTGTGCAGAGAACCAGGGACAGATTCTTACACATCATATGCCTATCCAACCCTTTATAACCTCTTAAGTCCCTTTTCCAGCCACTGAATAGGGAAAAGTTAAGCTTTGTGAAAGATAGGACTAGGCCAGAAAAAGGTTGAGAAATGGAATATTCAAACCTTGAATGCAGAAAAATACTTTAGAAATACAGCTTATGGCCATTCTTATACTTAGGATCTAGGTAGTAATATTTCTCCAGCAATCCTTGGGATTTTTAGAGTTGTGTTCCTTCCCATTTCTACCTGCAGCCCTCATCCCCCATCCCCATGAAACATAAACTATTTCCAGAACTCTTAGCTTGTATAGATTAAATATTAGCATAAAACGTATTTACTGTGCCAACAGTTATAAATGCTGTCACTTTTTAAGCTAACCATACTTTTTTGGGGTTTTGTTAATGTTTATTGGCCTCTAGATCCATCTAGATTTGATCAAAAGTGGTACTTTATCAGGGAGCCATAGTTAGGAACACGGTAGAAATATCTGCATTTATTAACTAATATACAAGTCTGCCTAGGATCAGGTATAGTATTCCCTACCTTACCGGGAAGAGAAGTTTGAGCCTTTTATATGTTTATAACACATGGATTTTTGCCTGATTTTTCCAATTTTCTATTCTGTATATGATCCCAAATCAGACTGTCAATTTTTGATCCAGGTATTTTTGAGAAGAAAAAATTAAAATGTATTTCTCTACCTTACCCCTGATCATTGTAAACAACTAAAGAGGTTGGGTGCTACATTGGGTGAGTTTACCTTATCGCTGTTTCTTTAAGTGGTAGAAGCAGCTTCTTCATAGTACATCTTCACTAAGCAAAATATGTGTTTTCCAGGGGTCTTCTGGGGCTTAGTAAGTGGGAACCATTCTCTTGAAGGAGGAAACCTTTTGTCTTTTGAAAATGGGTAAGAAAATGGGAGCATGTCACTGAATTACTCTTAAGTGCAGCAGTAGGAAGACTTGGAGGGGAAGGAAGGCCAAGGTAAGACATTCTTGGAGTTTATCCTATTTGTAGCCATGAGGTAAACTGGAGTTTCACTTCTGAGGGAGGGAAGGACGTGAACTGGCTTAAAACCAGTTCCTTTTGCATGATTCAGCAAAACAGTCTTTATGGACTCACAGTGGAAAAAGAACTCCTAACTTTTCTAATTTATCCTCCTTTTAACGATAGAGGAGGAAACGCCCTGTTCCATTTCTTCTCAACTTCTGGAGACCTTCTGTTAAGTCTCATCTAACCATTAAATAGATCGTTTTCCATAGAATCTAAGGCCTAGATTTTACTCATAGTGATATTATCTACTTCAAAAGATATACTCTATGTTCTTCCTTTTGCCCTTCATAGTAAAGTGAACATAGTGCACACCTCCACAATCTTAAAAAAAAATACTAACTTTCCTCCCAGTCTTGCCATAGGGCCCTCCATCCTTTTTGTAAGAAGATCTTTTTCCTTCTTGAAACCTTGGGAGTTGAGTGGCAGCCGTAAGTAGGAAGGAGGTGCCCTTGTCTTTGCTTGTTCTCTGTGCTCAGGGAAACTTCAGAAAGGTCAACTTGGCATCTAGGCTAGATTTAGTTATCTACTAGTTTAGGATCCTGCCTAAATCATCTGGTTTAGGATGGTTTAAGTTGATGGGGATGTGGAGAACTGAGTGTTAAATTTTCCTTTTCAGTTGAAAGAGTAGTTTCTGTTGCCAAGAAGAAGGAAATGGTACTTCAGCTTTCTTCGTGACAGCTTGAAATGTGCTCAAAATTATAAAATCTTAGACAATGATGACTTAGATATTAGTATTTACCTAAGAATTTGCTGTTGTAGAAATCTACATTGCAGGCTATCAAAATTCTACCTGCTTGGTCTGAAGAAAGAAGAAAAAGAAACTGCAAATGAAGAGATAGGTAAAACTGTGAAGGTGCTATTGTTTTGTCAGAGTATAAATATTGGGTGTCATGTTTGGCAGGTAAGATCAGTAAAGTGGTTTTACAAAAGATTTTATATCCACTTGCTTCAGAGAAGCCAAGTGTCAACTTTAATTTTTACATATAAATAGAAGATAGAAACCTATTTATTTCAGATTACATAATTTGTTTATTATTGCAGTCAGGCATTTGTTTGGATTCAGGGCATACTGGGACATCCATTATTGGAGCTGAATGTCAGGGTCTATGCTAGAAAAAAATGTAGAAAAGGATAAGAAGAAATAATTAAGTGTTTTCAGTGAACTACTTGGCTTGAATAGCACAGATTGTATTAGCCAAAAAGGAGTCAGGGTGGCACCATAATTATTAAAGGAGGCAACACCTTAACATTAGTCTTTTTAAATATGTGTCATCTTGAATTTCATGTCTTTGATTGAATTGGGCTATAAGCATAGGCTTCTCTGGAGGTAAGTAGATTGAAAAGCACTCCTCAACAGAAAAGCTTAAAAGTAAATATCATCATAAGCATTCATTTAAAAAAGAAAGCCTGTTTTTGATCCAGAAGTTGTGACTTTTCATTCTCTGTGATGTTGGTGATAACTCTTAATTCAATTGTGACCTTGTTTTTCTTCCTTTCAGATGGGGCATTCTCTTCTCCCACCCTCGGGACTTTACCCCAGTGTGCACCACAGAGCTTGGCAGAGCTGCAAAGCTGGCACCAGAATTTGCCAAGAGGAATGTTAAGTTGATTGCCCTTTCAATAGACAGTGTTGAGGACCATCTTGCCTGGAGCAAGGTTAGTATCAATTGGCATGTGCTTTGAGCCTGAGATTATAGGTCAAGTTATAAATTATGGAGTACTTGGTTTTGAGGTTAAGGTACAAGTAAGCCTTAGGTTCAAAGTTCACTAATTATTTGAAAATTTCAGTTGAACCACACAGTGATCACATTGCTAAATCCATTGGTCAGTCAATTCTCAGCCCTCCTCTTGGCCTGCCAGCAGCATTCAACCCAGCTGATCACTGTACCTCCTGAAACTTTTTCCTTTCTTGACTTCCAGGACACCACATTCTAGCTGTTCCTGCTCACTGATTCTTCATCTCCCAACTCCTAATTTATGCTGAAGTTACCCTGAACTTATTTCTTGGACCTCATCTCTTTTCTGTCTGCACTCTTTCCCTTGGTGAGCTCATCCACTCACCTTTAAATACCATCTATGTGCTGTGATTCTCAAATTTTCATCTCTATGCCAGACTCTTCCAGGTTCATATAACCACTGCCTACCTAGCATCTCTCCTGGGATGTCCAGTCATCTCAAACCTAGCATGTCTAACTAGGCCTCATTCTTAGATCCAGAGTTTTACTCATCTAAGCTAATGGCAACTACATTTTTATAGTTGTTCACACCCCAAATCCAGGAGCCATTCTGAATTCTTCATGTTTTTTCACATCATACATCTGATTTATCCTCAAACTTGTCAGCTCTACCTTCAAAATATGTCCTGTATCATAGATAGAAGACTCACTTCCCAGGGATCTGTGTGACTTACCCTCACCTCTTTTGGGTCTCAACTCACAGGACATTTCATCAAAGCCTTTCTTGTCCTCATTATCTAAAATTATAACTCCTTTTCACGTTCACCATCCCCTTCTCCTCAGCACTCTGCATACTACCTATTTAGTTTGTTTGTTTCTTCCTAGTAGAGTATAAACTCAGCAGGAACAGAGACTCCTGTTTAGTGCACTGCTGGAACAATGCTCACTACTCAGTATATCCTAGGCGATCAGTCAATATTTGTTGAATGAATTAACTGAAGGAAATACCTACTTCTAGCAAAAGAATTTACTTGAACAGTAAATTTGGTGGTCTGAATTTACCTTGAAAACATTTTAAGAACTTGACTGCACTGTGCTGTTAAGTAATAATGATAACTACTTTTTGAGGGATGTATACTAGAAACTATGTCAAACGTGCAGTTGAATAAAAGATGTATTGACTTGTGAGTTAGGGGTCTGTGGCTGCATCCTATAGCAGTTAATGCCAGTTAATCCTAAATATCTGAGACTAGAAGAATCATGTGTAGGAGAAAAAAGAAGGGCAGTTATCTGTCTTGAAGTAGAATTTTTTTTCATTCCTTACACTTCTCAGTGAGTGGTAACTGTAGTTTTTGCTATCATTTTTCATTTTCGTTTTTGCAGTTGAACATACTTTTTTCACTCAGAGAGTTGGAGGGACTTGCCCAAGACTGCCCAATGGCAATGAGATTTCAACCTCAAATCAATGTTCTTTTTAATGCAAGATGATAAAGAGTAGGATTTAGCCTAATTTAGGATAGAATAAAGCCAAATAATTTAGGATAGGTTCTTTGGTGTTCATGGGTGTAATCTAATGCCCATGATGCAAGTGGCAGAGTAGAGAATTAGTGCACAGCAATAATTAAAGTGACATATTGCCAAAGGAAGCGGTTATAGCCCATTATATAATACCTTTTAAAGGACAGACGCATACTCAGGTTTATTTTACCTGCTGAGCTTCTGCCTTAGAAGTTTTCAGAATTGTGATTACATTGAATAGGAAAAAAGTCTGAACTATCAGAAGCAGTGCCGCAACTTTGACAAACAACTGATTATATAATAATCTGCCTCTAGCATGAGACTATATTAATTATTATTTAGCTCTGGTGACTTCATAAGCAGCCAGTGACAACAGAAAGTTAAGATAATAAAATGAAGGAATGTTACAATTTGTTATCATCCGGGAGCCTGAGGCAGGAGAATGGCTTGAACCCGAGAGGTGGAGGCTGCAGTGAGCTGAGATCGCGCCACTGCACTCCAGCCTGGGCAACAGAGACTCCACCTCAAAAAAATAAATAAATAAAAAGAATTTGTTGTTATCCACTTCAGAGCTCATTAATGCCACATTTGTCACATCTCCGTTGAGAAATCCACAATGGTTTTGTATCTGCTATGCCATCAAGCCCCTGTTTTACTTTCAAGCCTACACACAATAGACGTTATTCCAATTTTAAATCCTCTTTTCCATTACTTGCTAAACTCTATCCAACTAAGTTCCTCACTCTCCTATCAATAGTTTATGTACAGAGTTGCCCACATGTTTCATTAATATCGTTCCTGGCCGGGCACAGTGGCTCTCGCCTGTAATCCCAACACTCTGGGAGGCTGAGGCAGGTGGATCACAAGGTTAGGAGTTCAAGGCCAGCCTGGCCAAGATGGCGAAACCCCGTTTCTACTAAAAATACAAAAAAAAATTAGCCGGTGTGGTGGCGGGTGCCTGTAATCCCAGCTATTCAGGAGGCTGAGGCAGAGAATTGCTTGAACCTGGGAGGCGGAGGTTGCAGTGAGCCAAGGTTGCGGTGAGCCAAGTTCGCACCAGTGCACTCCAGCCTGGGCGACAGCAAGACTCTGTCTCAAAAAAAAAAAAAAAAAAAAATTAGATATATATATTTATATATATATATATTTATATATATACACACACACACACATACATATATATACATATGCACACGTATATAATATATATACACATATATATATGTGTGTGTGCATATATATATATAGTTCCTGATTCCTAGAATGCCTTTCTTTTCTCTGTGAAAAATCTTACCCATCCTTCAAGGGCCTAGATAGAAGTCCTGTTCTTTTCTTGAAGCCTTTTGTAACTTTTGGAGTCCTACAAATGGGAGTGTTCGTATACTTCAGTATTTACCATCCACCATTTAACATTAGTCTTGCATTTGCTGCTGCTTCATACTGGAATCATCTCTAACCAAATGAGAAGTTCCTTTGAAGGGAGGAGCCGTGTCTTACTCATCTGTATTCCACATGTATTTACCATAATGCTTAGCCCACCTTAAGTGCTATATCAATGCTTAATCAAATAACAAAACTAGATTTTTTTTTTCTCCAAAAGCTTCCAGGGATAGGAAAAGTAGAAATAAATGGATGAATAAAGTTTTACTAGGGAAGGAGGGAAGTGTATCATTTTTCTTTAGTTCAGACTTGAAATGCTTTGTTTTCTCTTTGAATTTCACCCTAGTTTAGGTTTACTTCTGCCTCTTCACCCATTTATTTTTGACTTGTCCTTCAAGTATATATTCAACTCTCCATTCTTGTGTTTGCTTTGTTTTGTGATTTGTTTTTTTTTTTTTTGGTCATTTCTTATTTGTCTTGTAACTTAGCATCTGAGTCAGGGTGCTTTATGAGGTAGGGACCAGATCTATAAGATTTTCTTTACATATGGCATTATTTCTAGATGTGATGGATTTAACAAACCTATTGTTATCTGATGATTTTTACAGTATTTGGGTACCCAGAGGTACCTTGTATTTGGATCTAACTAAATTATTGCAATTTTAAAGGGGTTGCTGCTATTTTCTCATAGCAGTAAAAGCATGCTGAATTTAAGAGAACTGGGCATGAAAACAGCTTTGGTCCATGATTACAACCTAAGTACTGTACTCTGCTGTTATTCCTGGCAATAATTGGAATGAAGAGTGTTCATCTACTCACTTTTTAAAATTAAAATTGCTTAAAGAAAATTACTGTGATTTGGTCCTCTTTCCTGTCTTGCAAGGTGATGGCTGTTAACTGATGAAATTCAGAGCATGTGTTGGGTTTAGATTCCTCTTTCCCCTTTTACTTGTGTTTCAGGATATCAATGCTTACAATTGTGAAGAGCCCACAGAAAAGTTACCTTTTCCCATCATCGATGATAGGAATCGGGAGCTTGCCATCCTGTTGGGCATGCTGGATCCAGCAGAGAAGGATGAAAAGGGCATGCCTGTGACAGCTCGTGTGGTAGGTCATACAAATTCATTTTGTAGTTAGCTTAACTGATCAGGCTGTATGTCCGTGTAAATGCTGGTACCAGCTAGAGGAGATAGGGGAATATCTACGATTATGAAATAACTGTGTATTGGCGACAATATCACTGATTATCTGTAATGCTGATGCAATTTTCAGCTAAATTTTCCAACTGCTTTATTCATAGTTCATGGAAATCTACAAAAAAAAAGTTGTTTATCCTAAAATGTCTTCCAGAATTGAGAAACCTTTTCATAGCTCTCCTGACTGCTCTCCTGACCGCCCTGTCTTTAAAGTGATGGGCCATATCCTTCTTCATAAGGCAGCTCTGTTTTAAATTTTTATTTGTTCTGTCCTCCGCCCACTAGAAAACAAACCCAATCCCTCATCTGAATAAATGCACAACTATTCAAGGAACAATATCAACTCCCATTAGTATTATTTTTATGATAGTCATCCCCAATTGACACAGCCTTTCCCTCGATTAAATTTGCATATCAGTTTTTCTTACTGGGAAAGCCAGAACCAAATAGAATTCCCTTCTACGTTTAGAAAATAACAGGGAGAAGAAAATTATCTGTATTCCAGCCATCCACATTAGCAGTTGGTGTATCCTTCTAGATGCTTTGTTTTTGTCTTGTTTTTATACCCTTGAACATTATTAATGACTGCAGAGCTTTCTAAGTGGCTTTAATAACACTCAAAGAACTCTTCCTATTTATGCCCCTCTGTGCTTTACAGGTGTTTGTTTTTGGTCCTGATAAGAAGCTGAAGCTGTCTATCCTCTACCCAGCTACCACTGGCAGGAACTTTGATGAGATTCTCAGGGTAGTCATCTCTCTCCAGCTGACAGCAGAAAAAAGGGTTGCCACCCCAGTTGATTGGAAGGTAAAGATGTTTTTAAAAAGCAGTTTCTCTACTTGCCTGAAGGGCCAGTCTCTAAATGGCCAACTTCAAGGTCTGTGTTACCTGTTTCTAGCACGCAAGTACACTGGGAGGATTTTTCCTCATGGCTGAGTTCAAGATTTGCTGAAAGGCCCTTTTCAAGGTCTTTATAACACCTTTTATACACAACACAAACTCCCTATATGGCTTTCCAACTTTTAGATAATTTGGAAAAATTATTGGTCAGAATGATTCCTTTTCCTAATAGAAGGTTTAAAAAAAAAAATTTTATCTAACCCTTCCCTGATGGCAAAATATTTATCGCACAATCTTAATTGGCCATTTCCGTTAAGTCATGGCTGTAAAAGTACTGGTGTATTAATGTCATTAAGTATTTAATTTCTCTTAAGCTTCATTCTTTTAAACCTGTGCTAGAATTCTCCAAAATTTGTTCATAAACTTTTCATCTTTAGGACATGGATAACATCACAAGAGTATCTTAACATTGCTACATTTTTAAAATAATGCTAACCTGAATAGCAGGTTTTGTTTTGTTTTTTTCTGACAGACAAATCACTTAAATTCTGTATCCACTAGTTAACTTATTATTACTTATTTATGTACTTATTGAGCCCAGATAGTAGTGAACTGGGGAGATAGCAGTGAATAATAGAAAGTCCTTGCCCTCATAGAACTTCCATTCCAGTGAGTGGAGACAAACAGTAAACAAGTTTATTAAGTGGTGATAACAGGTGCTACAGGGAAGAATCAAGCACAGATGGGGAGAATAACAGCACAGGGGTGGGAGAGTGACTGTCAAGGAATGCCTGTCTATGAAGGGACCTTTGGAGAAAAACACAGAGAAGATGTGACCAAGGCATGTATACTTGTGAGGGACGAGCACTATAGGCAGAAGGAGCAGTTAGTGCAAGAAACTGGGCCTACAAGTGAGCTTGGCATGTTGGAGGAATACAAGGAAAGCTAGCATGCTTGGAGAAGAAGCTGCAGAAGGTGGGGTGAGGGACAAGAGATGAGAGGAGGCAGGATTCCATCACACAGGGCTTGCAGGCCATGATACTCAGAATTAAATGTAAAGTGTGGTGGCCAGCTGTTACTGGGTTTAAAACAGGACTGTTTCTTGTTAAGATGGGGGAACTGCTTTCCTGCCAAAAGTGCCAAAGATCAACTTGGAAAACAAAATCCTCACAGAGGGGAGAGT